>NC_000003.12:172644967-172796483 GCF_000001405.40 Homo sapiens
TGGTATCTAAAAAAGACCTAAAGAAGAAGAGACACGTGTGCAAAAGCATTCGCACAATGCCTGGTACAAAAAAGATGGCGTGATTTTTGTGTTGTATTATTATTATCATCAAAATTATTATAATTATTATTCACATTCTTCTTAGTTGCCCAGAAAAGTGGCTTATACAGAACTGACAGAGACAACCCAAAATATTAATATTACTACTATTACTACTAACCACACCATTAAAATTTGTTGAACACGTATTTCTGTTCCCAAGGCACAAGTCATAGAACCTGACTCTAAGAGAGCAACTTTTTCAACTCTCAGCTGTAGAAGAGATTCTCTTAAAATCCTTACTACTTTTTAGATTTAAAAAGTTATATGTTGCAGGTAACTGATTGCATACTTCTCTAGGTTTTTAGTTAATCCTTTTTTCAGTTTTCAAAACTAACGGTGAAAAGGTAATTTGAAGTGTTATAAAGCTAGTTCAATAAATTTTGTTACATCAGAAATCATTTTTCTGATTATGCTGAGTGTGACTTTGGGCATATCTCTTTGCCAACTTGAGACCTTTATTTTTTACTTTATCACTTGTAAAACAAAGTAACCAGACTGTTATCTAGAATTCCTTTATAAGAAAAATTTTCTATGACTAGCATTAATTACTTACTCAATGGAAACAATGACAGCATTCAATTCCTCAGCCATTGCTGTACACAGCTCATCATAATACCTGATTTCTAAAAGACACAAAGGGAACAATCATTACAAAACAGGTCATTTAATACTGTCCACTCATAAATTCTGCTAAGTGTGAATTGTTTTTAGGCTTGGAGCTAATACTAAAAACAAATAATAAAAAGCAAATGTGAACAAATAATAGAGTTACATGTACACATGAAAAATTAAATCTGATTTCTAATAACATGCAACTACTATATAACAGGAAATGCATAGTTTAGTTTTGAATATATTACTATCTAAATATTTATTTCATAACGGACTATATGAAATGCACCAAATTAATCCTGATTTTATAGCTCTTCAAATGTATACATCTTTCTGGAAAAAAAATCACAGCAAATAAGCAGTCTCTTCCTTAGAATCATGCAATTTTAGGCTGGGAGTGGTGGCTCATGCCTGTAATCTCAGCACTTCAGGAGGCTAAGGAAGGAGATCATTTGAGGTCAGAAGTTTGAGACCAGCCTGAGCAACATAGCCAGATGCTGCCTCTATAAAAAAATTTTTTTTAATTAGCCAGGCATAGTGGTGCACGCCTGCAGTCCCAGTTGCTTGGGAGGCTGAGGAAGGGGGATTACTTGAGCCCAAGAGTTTGAGGTTACAATGAGCTGTGATAGAGCCACTGTACTCTGGCCTGGGTGACAGAGTGAGATCTTATGTCTAAAAATAATAATTTTAACAATTTTGCTCTTTTAACACTTCATTTGCTGCAGTTCAGTAAAGTGATCAATTTGAAGAATATGGTATTTTCTTTAAATGAACACGTAAAAAACTAGAATTTTAGGAAGTCTTAGCATTTCTTAGAGGATTCCAAAGGTCTGCAGTAACAGAACCAATTTAATATGTAAGAATTTAATTCTTAGTTACTCTCAGTAAATTAAGATCTATATTGTGCCAACTGAGAGCCAAACATTTCCTTATTTATAGGGTTTCCAAGGCAGTCTTAGAATCGGAAGCTTAAGAATTACATAGACACCTGTTACCTCCACCTGCTCAAGTTCTTCCTCAGGCAGAAGTGATCAGTCAAAATTATGCAGAAAAGGCCAGGCTGACTCTTGTAATCCATCCCATTCCTGGCACCCATACTTGCTGTCCTCCAGTACAATGTTTTTCCTGGCAAGCGTCCAATGCTACAGATTCAATCTCTTTTAAGGCAGAAACTCCTTCTTATTCATTTTTGTATCCCTACACCCGAGCACACCTTAGACTGACCAATGGTCCAGACTTGCCCACAACTGTTTGAGCTTTTGCACTGAAAGACCTGCAGCCCAGCAAACCCCTTGGTCTCGGGCAAACCTACATACTCATGAACAGCTATTGAAAATGTGAAAAAAAATCACTGAATAAAAGAATAAACAACGGATATGGAATTAAATAAGATTACTAGAAAAAGTCAAACCTTTTGACCTTTGTTGCTTTTAAAAAAAAATCACATAATGATAAAATAAAAAAAACAAGTTGCCATTGCTTTTAAACTAAGGGGATGCCAAAAGCTCTGGACTGAAGATGAGGAAGTAGCTCCATGATCATTTATTAGCAGAGACAAGACCCCGAATTCCGCCTTGGGAGGTTCTCTTCTGGGCGGCTCTGTTTGGCTGCCTGCCATTTTGAATGTGTTCTACTCATAAAAATCATCCAAATCTAAAGAAAATATTCTTGAACTTTGCAAGATTGTTTCCTTTGAATGGTTGCATATATTTTTACCTTTGCTTTCATAAGCAGATAAAATGTTAACATGTGTATTAAGGAATACCTGGTCTATTTCATAGAAATATATCTTCAAAACACAAGTTGGCAAAAGAAGCACAGATAATTCCCCATATGCGTGCCTGGTGAAACTTCACCTTGTTTTGGTGCAGAAAGCTGTATCAGCACTGCACAATAAGTTAGTCTGTGATTTAGATCATAGGAAATATTTTTACAACAGTCTACCTGAATTGACAAACAAACTAACAAGCAAAAAACCTTTACAAAGGATAACCATTTAATTTATCACCCAAACCAGGACCCTTTTGAGAGTGAAAAGGGGGCACTAGTCATAATTTTGCTGGGACAACAGGGGTAACTGGGACCATCCAGGGGAACCTAGATAAATGGTCCCCTTCTTTCCCACTAAGAAAGCCAAACTCAGTTACGCATCTCCCCCAAGGCCAACCACAACAACAAACCATCTGAAGGTGACCAGGACGCACTTGCACTTGCCAAGGCCCAGCCTCCTCCGTGGATATAAACGACGCTGCGTTTCAGTGGCTCTTCGGGCTTCGGAGGGCCTTCAAACACTCTGACTTCCACACCATCAAAGTCTGTGTCGGTCACCTTCACTTGGGCAGAAGACCACGCGCTTTTTTTGCCAAAAGAAACAATGATAAAATTCAGTGCCAGCAGGTGATGGCTCAGTCCCAGGTAGTGGATCAGGTTACTCTGCAGGGCGAGGGAGGAAATAAAGAGGGAGGGCGCACGTCAACTTGGCATCACCAGAGCTGCCCTCACCAACTGAGTGTCTGAATTCCTACAAGCAGCTGCCACTGGACTGGAGGGCTCATTGAGCCCTTTTAATACAAAAACCAATTGTATTTACCTTTTGCTTTTGGACAAAATATTTTCATACATGAGATCTCCTCAGGTATCATCAGTCCCATTTTATTGAGAAGGCTTAAACAATAACTATGCTTGTTCATTTCATTGGATAAGTGGTAGTTCTGGGACTCAAACCTAAGATTAGGTTTGAATTCCAGGATTCAGTACCTTTTTTTTCTAAATAAGTATATCACAGTTCCAATAACATACTAGGAGTAAAGAAATAATACTTTATTTCAATGCAAATAAAAGAGGAAAATGTTCTATTTACTTTAATTTCTTTAAATTCCTTTGTAACATATATTTGGGTGTGTCTTATTGCTTAATTTCTTTAAATTGCTTTGTAACTTCAATATATTTAATTGTATCTTTAAATGTGTCTTGTCCTTTTGAAAGGAGCGTGTGAGAAAAAAGAAACATTGTCAAGGGAGGCCCTGGCATTTAGAAGCAGCTCAGCTCAGATATAACCAGAAGCTTTTTAGAAATGAGGCAAAGACCATACTGCCTGATGGTCTCTTCCCTTCTGAACCCTCAGGGTATCAAGCTCTGCATTAAGTGTTCGCAGAAAGTTATTTGGTTGCAGAAGGAACATAGCAAGGAGACCTAATTTACCCACCAAGCAAAGACACTTCTGAGTTTATATCCTTCTCTCCACTTTCGCAAGTTCATCAGGAAGGGGAACAGCTGGAGAGTAACAGTGCTCTTTTGTAGATGATGAAACAGAACACTGGTGATTAATGATCATAAGATCACGGAAACAATGTTGCTAGCAGAAATCAGGACTATATGATGTCTGCGATGTGGCACCTTACAGCTTCTCAGGCTGTGCACAGCGTACGACGGTACACCTTGAAGAGGGTCCGTGTGTGCTCATCGCCTCAGCCTCTGGGCAAATTCCTGAGCCCTTTACCCCAGTGTCCCATATAAACATTATAACTGTGTGTGTATATTTTATATATACATACATATATATATATACACACACACATATATATATGTCCTGTCCTGTCATGAAAAGAGTTAGAAAGCACTATATTATAACAGCATTAGCAAATGTTAATGAAAAACAAGAACAAGAGGCAGTTAATCAAACAATGAACAGCTATTTTAGGAATTCCTTTAATATTATTCGCTGGCAAGTATAAGCAGCAGCAGAGCAAATGAATATTAAGAAAATTCAACTTCTACATGTGCCCTGACATCAACTGCCCAATTTACTGAACAAGTTGAAACTGTTCATGTCTTTGATACTAATTTATGCATGTGTACATGCACATATGTGTTCACACATGTACTGCACAGAGGATTCTAACTATCAACTTAAGTTCTTTGGTAAATTGGAAGAAGGCAATTACCATTCGAGTTTTGTGGTAAAATGTTAGTCTAATTTAGAGAATATTGAGATCTGCCAGGGAATAGCTAAGAATCACTGTATTTCCAAAGTTTCTAGAGTAGATATAATAAACCCTTGTTAACACCATTATCAATTAATAGGGAACATGCAAGCTCCATTCCACTTGTCACAGGACAGGTAGTTTGACTGGCACGAAACGATGAAATATGAACAAAGAAATGGCAGACCTGGCTCTGTTATATTATGAACTGTACTTTTCTTTTTAATTAAATGAAGACTTTCTTAAACACTTGAGACAAATTACATGAGTTTCTTTAACTATATGAAGCTGTAAAACAAGTGAATTGTCTTTATATGACAGATATGAGAAGACTGTACATTTTATAAGAGAGCCCACCTCGAGTTTCCTTTATGTAATGCATGCTCTGAGTACATGCGGGTTTGACTCAATTTGTTCACACCTTTCCAGAAACATCTCTCCATGTTAGCTTATGTTTCGCTTGCATTCACAGAATACTTGAACAACCATCTGCATTGTTTACAATAGCAACACAGTGGTGTGGGGGTAGAAGTGCTGATTAGAAAAGGGACAATTTGGCTGAGTGCAGTGGCTCATGCCTATAATCTCAGCACTTTGGGAGGCCAAGGCAGGCAGATCATCTGAGGTCAGGAGCTAGAGACCAGCCTGGCCAACATGGTGAGACCCCATCTCTACTAAAAATATAAAAATTAGCTGGGACCGGGTGCGGTGGCTCACGCCTGTAATCCCAGCACTTTGGGAGGCCAAGATGGGCGGATCATGAGGTCAGGAGATCGAGACCATCCTGGCTAACATGGTGAAACCCTGTCTCTACTAAAAATACAAAAAAAAAAAATCAGCCGGGCATGGTGGCGGGCGCCTGTAGTCCCAGCTACTTGGGAGGCTGAGGCAGGAGAATGGCATGAACCCTGGAGGCAGAGCTTGCAGTGAGCTGAGACTACGCCACTGCACTCCAGCCTGGGCGACAGAGTGAGACTCCGTCTCAAAAAAAAAAAAAAATAGCCAGGCATGGTGGCACATGCCTGTAATCCCAGCTACTCAGGAGGCTGAGGTAAGCGAATCGCTTGAACCCGGGAGGCAGATGTTGCAGTCAGCCGAGACTGTGCCACTGCAATCCAGCCTGGATGACAGAGCGAGACTCTGCCTCGAAAAAAAAAAAAAAAAAAAAAAAAGGGACAATTTGTTTATGCAGGGTAAAAGACAGGAATATGAAAGGGTAGGTAGATGAGTAGAAAAAGAATTTAGAGAACTGCTACAAGAAAAACTGTGCTAATGTTCACAATTGTATTGATAAATTAGAGTTATACTAGAGCCAATATCAAGACTGTTTGAAAACTTGAAAATTGATATGAACAGTAACCTGTTGTTAATTACTTTTCTTGGTACTATTATAAATAATAGCTATCACTGCCTGAGTGCCTACAGTGAGTGCTAGGGTAGGTTGCTGAATTCTGGCTACTATTCTGTGAGGTAGGTACTATTATCTTGCTTACAGAGAGAAGAGAACAGAAGCTTAGACATTAAGGAGCCAGTACAGAAGCTGGATTTCTAAAACCTTGAGGGGCTGCAGGACTTACAGAATTGCCTAGAAATGCTGGTGTAAATCAGTGTGGGTCCTGGAAGCTGCTCTGAGCCCTATCCAGTATGCGATAACATTTGCATGTCTATATGATATCAATGACAAACTCATGAATATTACCTAACTTTTTTTTTACTCAAATATCTTTCCCTTAGCTCTTCACATTACTCTCCTCCTACCATACTGCCCAGAAAATAAATTCAGTAGCCACACCTTTCTATAGTTGTTACTTCTTTGAAGGGCTATGAGAAAAAAAAGCAAAGAAACGGGAGTTCCTTCCTTCCTTTGGATTTTTAAAAGCCTGTATCTTTTGGAGAATCTTTTTTTTTTTTTGAGGTAGAGTCTCGCTCTGTTACCCAGGCTGGAATGCAGTGGTGTGATCTCGGCTCACTGAAACCTCCGCCTCCCAGATTCAAGCTATTCTCGTGCCTTAGCCTCCCAAGTAGCTGAGATTACAGGCATGCACCACCACTCCTGGCTACATTTTGTAGTTTTAGTAGAGACAGGGTTTTGCCACATTGGCAAGGCTGTTTTCGAACTCCTGGCCTCAAGTGATCCACCCACCTCCGCCTCCCAAAATGCTGGGATTACAGGCATGAGCCACCGCGCCCGGCCGAGAATCTTTTAAAAAATAGGCATTGATTTAGAAGATTACATGACGAATAAGAAGTCTCCTAGAATAGAAAGTGATTTCCCAGGCTAGATGGTAGAAGAGGGGAAGAGAAAGTGTTGCAGAGGAAATGAGGGCTGTATAGATAAATATCTGGGAGCCAATGAAAAAAGAACCCTGGGGTACAAAAACTCCCAGATAGGTCTGTGGAATCTGAAGCAGCTGACCCTGTGCCTCATACCCAGACAGAACCCTGGAAAGAGGCAAGACCTTAGGGAAGAGTAGATGCAAGGTATGTCTAGAAAGATAATGCCTCAAATGGCCTTAGAGCCCCAGGCTCCAGCTGGTGAGGGAAAAACAGAATGATTCTGTGTGCCCAGTGAAAGCATAAATGTAGCAGGGTCTGCATGAATGTCTTGCAGATGGACCTAAGACAATCTGTCTTTTCTCCACAGCCCATTATATGTACCCAAGAGTTCAACAGGAATAGAAATGTGTGCTAATGGATTTGAAAGATCTACTGTCTTACAGATAAGAACAAAGGATATCTCAGGACAAACTGTAAGGATCAAACACCAAGGATCGGGTGGAACAGTGATGTGGGCTGAGGATGAGTGATACCCACATGGCTTCCCCAAACCACAATGCCTCAGCACTGTATAAGATCCTCCAAAACCTAAAAGCAAACAGTGATGAGTGGGAATTCCTAAACTCACTGGGAATAAGTTTCCTACCTAAAGGATGAAGGCTTAAAATATAGATCAAGTTATATTTCCCTGAGCTTATGAAATCAGATTCAGAGTCACACAAGTAACATTCTGGAAGTAATAAAGTTTCCTGAAACCTCTATTTCTTTTTTTTAGACAGAGTCTCACTCTGTTGCCCATACTGGAAAGCAGTGGCATGATCTTGGCTCACTACAACCTTTGCCTCCCTGGTTGAAGCGATTCTCCTGCCTTAGCCTCCCAAATAGCTGGGATTACAGATGCCTACCACCACACCTGGCTAATTTTTGTATTTTTTTTTTTTTTAGTAGATACAGGGTTTCACTATGTTGCCCAGGCTGGTCTTGAACTCCTGACCTGAAGTGATCCACCCGTCTTGGCCTCCCAAAGTGTTGGGATTACAGATGTTAGCTACTGCACCCAGCCTCCTGAAACCTCTTTAGAAGGAGCTGGGAAACTCCAGGAGAACACAGAAGCAAGCCAAATTTTAAGGGCCTAATGGGCTGTAAATTACTCCATCTTGGCTAAAGTAAGCTAGGGCAGTGCTAGAGGTCTTAAAACTTGCCTCCATAACCATTCCAGGATCTAGGGGAAGAATTCTGCCTAATGAGATGGAAGGGGATAAAGGGTACTCATTACGCCCCAGTGGAACCAGACAAAGAAATCCGGTGGGGCACTGGCTCCCTACCCAGGTCTGATGGCTGAAGATCAAAGGACAAACAAGAATCAAAGGAAACCAAGCAGAAACTGTGCTCTGTTTATGAATATATAAATTAGTTATGTTTATATATGGGGTTGGTCTCTGTTGACTAAGTCAACATAGAAATTATGAAGTATACCCTATGGGCAGAGAACTTTGTAGGGGAGAAAGAGAATCATCTGAAACTTAGAGTAATAGAGGAGAACCAAGGCTTGCAAATGAATAGCTGATGTTAGTTAGCTAAGCAGTAAGTGGTAAGAAAGGCCTAGATAAAGGGTTGCACAAGCTCAGAGAAGAAAGGAATTACCTCTGTCTGGGGATGAAATCCAGTAAGGTGTCTGGCCCTCAATTACATCTTAGATGATGTCCCATCATAGGTATGGCTAACAAGGAAAAGGGCTGGAACTAAGGTGCAAGTATTGGAAAGTGGTTTGTTTTTGTTGTTGTTGTTGTTCTGTTTTTTTTGTTTTTTTGTTTTTTTGTTTTTTTTTTTTTTTGAGACAGAGTCTCCCTTTGTTGCCAGGCTGGAGTGCAATGGCGCGATCTTGGCTCACTGCAACCTCCGACTCCCTGGTTCAAGCGATTTTCCTGCCTCAGTCTCCTGAGTAGCTGGGATTACAGGCACATGCCACCACGCCCAGCTAATTTTTGTATTTTTAGTAAAGACAAGGTTTCACTGTGCTGGCTAGGATGGTCTCGATCTCCTGACCTCATGATCCTCCCGCCTTGGCCTCCCAAAGTGCTGGGATTACAGGCGTGAGCCACCGTGCCCGGCCTGGAAAGTGTTTTAACTCAAAACACCTATGGGTAGGTAAGGTATACAAGCAAAATGGAGGCAAGAGGAGCATGGCAATAACAGGCTCAATCTAAAGGAGGCATGCGCAGCACAGAAGTCTGCAGCATATAATCCAGAGCCAGAGCACCTGGGCTAAAATCCCAGCTCCCTCACTTACCAGCACTGGGCCCCTGGGCAAATGACCAAACCTCTCTGTACCTCAATCTCCCATCCACAAAATGGAAGTAATTATACACATGACCTCAAAAGATTGTTGTGAAGACTGAAAACTAAGGCACCTAGAACAGTGCCTGTCACATAAGAAGCCCTTTATGAGTCAGTTATCACTGATATTACACCTCTGCTCCAGAAGATCATTGCGTAAAAAAGTGAGCCCAGCGACAGATATTCCAATGTTTCTAGGGAAGCTGAGACTATCGTTTTTCCTATTATGCACATTTGTTATTAGTTCCACATGGATTATCAAGTCCTGAAATTGTTGCAGGTTAAAAAAGATGTACAACAGTGATCTTTAAAAAGCTTATTTGTATGGTCATATTGAAGGGGAAGGAGGCAGCTGGGGAAGAACCAGCAGCACACTGATAACCCATACACATCAATGACTTCGCATCTGGTCAAGTTTCAACATGAACCAGCAACATTAACACTTAAAGCATCGATTCTAACTCACTACCTGATTCGTTCTTCACATTCAAAGGTTTGTATTCTATGTCAGTGACTCTCCAATTTTTCCACTACGGTCACTTCATTCAGTCCATCAGCTTTTTAATTCTCTTTATATTTTGCTCTAATTGTGTCTATTATAAGAAAAAATCTATAATCTCATGGAACATTTATTTATCTGCATGAAAATATGAGAATTTAATTAAAATATTAATGTTTAATGTTCAATTAAGAGATGGACCTTAAAGTAGAGGTATGGAACCAAGCCTAGGAGAGAAAAGACAGAGGCTGTCCAAAGAGACTGCCTGGACGCAGTACCAGCTGAGGTGAATTGAGTTTTAATGAAGTAAAGATTCAGATTCACTCAAGTAACCTGAAAGTAACAAAGTTTCCTGAAACCTCTTTAGAAGTAGCTGGGAAATCCAGGAACACACAGAATTGTGTTAAGGGCCCTGTGAGCTGCAAATTACCCTGTCTTGGCTAGCTGAAGTAATCTAGAACAGTTCTAGAGGTCTTAAAACTTGCCTCCATAACCATTCCAGGATCTAGGGGAAGAATTCCACCTAAGGAGATGGAAGGGGAATAAGGGTACTCATTACGCCTCAGTGGAACCGGACAGTAAAATCTGGTGGCGCACTGGCTCTGTACCCAGGTAGTTGGTTCATGTTGAAACTTGACCAGATGCTAAGTTATTTATGTGTATGGAGTATCAGTATGCTACTGGTTCTTCCCTAGCCTCCTGCTTCCCCTTTGATACATGATCAGAAGGCTGGAGAAGGAGAGAGAGTTGGGGAAAGGCAAACAGATGTTTCTGGTCACAGGGCGGTGTTCACGCTTTAGTCCTCTGCCCACCGCCCTGACCTAGTAAGAACAGAAAGAGAACCCACAAGGTATCAAAGTCCGCTTTCCTATTCTCAACTAGAATACAAGGTCAAAAACATATCTTCACTTGCTGAGGCCTGGATCTCTACTCCAACCCAACTCTGATCAAAGCACAGCGCTGAGCACCATTTCTGGGAGGATTTAGGCCACATGGTAAATTCCACCAGAGAGGGAAAGTTAATTTGCTCAGGTAAAGTTGAATAAAATTAAAAAATGGAAGCTTCAGAAACACCCTCACTTAAAGAGCTGGTGAGCAGGACAGGAAAAACCAATCAATAAAAGACAAAAAAGAACAAGAGAGGGAGTGAGAAAAAGAGAGAAAAGGGACAAATCGTTAGTGTGGCAACAGAAACAAGAAACTGGAGATATTAAGGGGGAAGAGATTTCAAGAAGGCAGGTTGTCAAATGTCTGCAGAGAGGCCAAGTAGATCATTGGTGTTGGCTATGGGTTCACTGGTGAACCTATTAAGGACAGTTTCATCCAAGATATGGGGCTGAAAATCATATTGTAATGGGTTGCAAAGTGAGCAGGAGTTGAAGAAAGAGAGAGAGTAAATGCAGGCAGATTACGTTCACTGTTTGTAGACATAAGGAAGGCACTAGAACAGTTGGGAGAGACTTGAACGTGCTTCTTGGGAAAGAGCTTGTCAAGAGAGAGACAAAGTTACAGAAGTAAAAGGAATTGAGTGAATTGAGATCCTAGAGGAAGGAGGACATAGGATCTGGAAAGCAGATGGAAGGGAGAATTCATAACAGGTAATTTATAGACGGCAAGGAGGCAAAGTGAGAAGATATATCTCTAAATAGAATTTGATTTCTGTGGATGTCAGTTCTGTCTTTGTCCTAAAGAAGATAGTGACTTTTTGGCTGGGCGCAGTGGCTCAGGCCTGTAATCCCAGCACTTTGGGAGGCCGAGGCAGGTGCATCATGAGGTCAGGAGATCAAGATCATCCTGGCCAACATGGTGAAACCCTGTCTGTACTAAAAAATACAAAAATTAGCCTGGCGTGGTGATGCGCGCCTGTAATCCCAGCTACTCGGGAGGCTGACGCAGGAGAATTGCTTGACACCGGGAGGCAGAGACTTGCAGTGAGCCAATATTGCACCACTGCACTCCAGCCTGGCAACAGAGTGAGACTCCGGCCAAAAAAAAAGACAGTGACTTTTCAAAGACTGCCCTCTTTGAAGGTAACCCATTGCAATCTGGCTTCAGCCCCATATGTCTGATGAAACTATCCATTAGGCTCACCAATGAACCCCTGACCCCAATGCCAATGCCGATGCCAATGACCCACTTGGCCTCACTGCAGACATTTGACAACTTGTGCTTTCTTGAAACTTTCTTCCCTCTTCTCCAGTTTCTTGTTTTTCTTGCCACACTAACAGTTCATCCCCCACTCCCCCCATTTTTATTTTCTTTTTGTCTTTTATTGATTGGTTCTTACACTCCTGACCACTGGCCCTTTAAATGATGATGTTCTCAAAAGTTCCATTTTTTATTTCATTCGACTTCACAATTCCTTCTTTCCTTGAGCAAGCCAATGTACTATCATGGCAAATAGGAAGTATTTACCAGCAGCCTACTAAATTCAAAGCCTATGACCTGTATTCATATACTGATTTCTAGTCCTTGATCTATCTTTCTCAAGCTTCCATACATATTTCCAAACATCTCCAGGATCTAGCCTACAAGCTCCTCAAAATTAATATGGCCTACTCTCCCTTCTCCACCCCTAGAGCAATTAACGACACAAATTCTCAATTATCTAACCATAAGTCTAACTTCTAAGCTAGAAACCTTACTATTGTCCTCAGCTTCTTCTCTCACATGATTTCCAATCACCTCATCAAACCCTATTAACTCCACCTGCCAACGTTTTCTGACCAAGTTCTACCCCAGCTCCACCCCCGCTCTCGTTGCTGCCTTGGCTAAGATGCTCATTATTTTCTGCACTTGCCTGCTAACTTGAATTCTAGATAACAGTCTTTCTCTATAACTTGCTGCATACTGCTGTCAGAGTTTCTACCCTGAAAGGCTGATCACATTACCTGCCTGCTTAAAAACTTCTGCTGACTTCCTGTTTCTTACAGGAAAAAAAGAAAAATCTAAAGTTGGCATTCCAGTCTGGTCCCACTCTACATTGGAACCTCATTTCTCACCACCCTACCCCTTGCAGTCAAGCATAACTTGCCTAACATTTTTCATTTTTTTAACCTGCCATTCTCTTTGGCAATGCCCTTCACTGGTATGCTGAAACCAGCTCTTGCTGGGTCTCACAAACCAAATGATAAATCTACAGGAATTTTGCAAGTCAGTTTGTCAGAGGTATGTGACCCAGAGCATCTCTGTCTTGAATAGGGGCTGGGTAAAATGAGGCTGAGACCTACTGGGCTGCATTCTCAGATGGTTAAGGCATTCTAAGTCACAGGATGAGACAGGAGGTCAGCACAAAACACAGGTCATAGAGACCTTGCTGATAAAACAGGTTGCAGTAAAGTAGCCGGATAAAACCCATCAAAACCAAGATGGCAATGAGAGTGACCTCTGGTGGTCCTCACTGCTACACTCCCACCAGCACCATGACAGTTTACAAATGCCACCGCAACATCAGGAAGTTACCCTGTATAATCTAAAAGGGGAGGCATGAATAATCTACCCTTGTTTAGCGCATAAGAAATAACCATAAAAATGGGCACCTGCTCAGGTTCCAGACCTTTGGTGGATCGCCATCTGGCTAGGGATTTTTCCTGTACCTGTCCTTCTTCCCTTATTTCTTTTACTCAGAATTATTTTTGTAGAGGAAACCTTTTGTCCCACATGAGGGCATGCATGGACCTAAAGGGTTCTATGTGGAGCACAGTGGCACCCTCTACACATAGCAAAGTATTGGACGGAATTATTAAGCCAACCTGTAAAGCACAAAATAAGTAGGCAATAGTAGGGTTCTCTCATTAGATTGCACAATTATAAAATTTCCAATTGTTTCCTCAAATATCCAGGAATTTCATGACAAGCTACAAAGCAAACCTAAGGAGAACCTTACTGCCACTACATAACAAAATCTAGCTCAGAGAAATAAAAGAGCTCACAGACGGATTTAACACTCTAACCCTGTCACCCTAAAACATTTGGTTTTTTTCCTCCCAGAAAACCTCTAGGGCTGCAGTTCAGTCTCAGGAAGGGCAAAAAGGATAAGGTTGTCTCTTTCCAATTCCAAAACTTTTTTTTTTTTTTTTTTTTTTTTTTTTTACTATCAACACAGAAAACAAGTAGTTTCCATATTGCCAAAATACTGGCTTAGCTCCAAAATCCTCCTATAGTCTACAGGATATGTCAAGGGCAGTAGCTCACGTGTGCTGACGTTTGCTCTCTGCTAGTCACTGTTCTCATTGTCAAGGAATCTCAGACCACGGGGGGTCAGTGAATCACCCAAGGTCACTCAGGCAGTAAATGGTGAACTGGATTTGAACCCAAGCATTCTGGCTCCAAAACCCTCAACCATCACCCTCTATTGCCATTCATGAGTGTAGGAGTTTGGTCAGGGTGGTGGGAAAAATTATAGAAGTTATAGAGAAAGACAAAAACCTTCTTGGAAGGCTGGGAGGTTTTGCAAAAGCTTTGAAAGATAATTTGGCTGAAGGCAGCCAAATTCTTTTATCGGGAGGCTGAGAGCAAAAGGCAGATTAACAAGCAAGTATAAAGGAATTGATCTGGTTAAGTTAGTTTACTTGGGCCTCAGAACCTGGCCTTTAATCATCTGTGCACAGGACTGCTCTCTCCAGGGGGACAACCATGTTAATTACTCACAAGATGTGTTGACTCAAAGTCATTAAATCTGTACTAAATAAATGCCTGTAGCACCAGCTTGTCAGGGCTGTGGCTGCTGACTCTTTATAGCACCCTCCTTGGTGTCTGTGAGTGGCCCGGTCCCCTAGCTGTGCAGCCAGGCAAAAAACCTGTGTCTGCACACATTTTTTCATCCGTTGCTCAGCCAGGGTCTGTGGGCCAGACCTGGCACATAAGTACATTTATTCTCAAACCTACATCATAAAACTAGAAGATTTTACATCTTAAATTAACATATAGCTTCACATATTTACCCAAAGGGAAACTAAGGCCCAGAAAGGATTTGTAACTCTCCTGGGCTCAGTGACTATGGCAGCATAGCTCTATGCTTGACCACTCTGGATCAAACAGCCACCCCCATCTTTCCCCTTTCCTTCAGCTCTTCCTCAACAGCACATCACTCTCTTGAGCCTTCCCTGGTAATAATACAGGAGTTATTAAAAAATAATTTTTAGGCAGATAGAGAGGAGTTCTTGGTAAGGCTTTTTCTTTTAATAAAAGCAACCCCTGAAGCATTTCTTTTTTTTTTTTTATACTTTAAGTTCTAGGGTACATGTGCACAACGTGCAAGTTTGTTACATATGTATACATGTGCCATGTTGGTGTGCTGCACCCATTAACTCGACATTTACATTAGGTGTTTCTCCTAATGCTATCCCTCCCCCCTCCCCACGACAGGCCCCAGTGTGTGATGCTCCCCACCCTGTGTCCAAGTGTGCTCATTGTTCAATTCCCATCTATGAGTGAGAACATGCAGTGTTTGGTTTTCTGTCCTTGCAACAGTTTGCTCAGAATGATGGTTTCCAGCTTCATCCATGTCCCTACAAAGGACATGAACTCATCATTTTTTATGGCTGCATAGTATTCCATGGTGTATATGCGCCACATTTTCTTAATCCAGTCTATCATTGATGGACATTTGGGTTGGTTCCAAGTCTTTGCTATTGTGAATAGTGCCACAATAAACATACATGTGCATGTGTCTTTATAGTAGCATGATTTATAATCCTTTGGGTATATACGCAGTAATGGGATTGCTGGGTCAAATGGTATTTCTAGTTCTAGATCCTTGAGGAATTGCCACACTGTCTTCCACAATGGTTGAACTAGTTTACACTTCCACCCACAGTGTAAAAGCATTCTTATTTCTCCACATCCTCTCCAGCACCTGTTGTTTCCTGACTTTGTGATGATTGCCATTCTAACTGGTGTGAGATGGTATCTCATTGTGGTTTTGATTTGCATTTCTCTGATGGCCAGTGATGATGAGCATTTTTTCCTGTGTCTGTTGGCTGCATAAATGTCTTACTGTGAGAAGTGTCTGTTGATATCCTTCACCCACTTTTTGATGGGATTGATTTTTTCTTGTAAATTTGTTTAAGTTCTTTGTAGATTCTGGATATTAGCCCTTTGTCAGATGGGAAGATTGTAAAAATTTTCTCCCATTCTGTAGGCTGCCTGTTCACTTTGATGGTAGTTTCTTTTGCTGTGCAGAAGCTCTTTAGTTTAATTAGATCCCATTTGTCTATTTTGGCTTTTGCTGCTATTGCTTTTGGTGTTTTAGTCATGAAGCCCTTGCCCATGCCTATGTCCCTGAATGGTATTGCCTAGGTTTTCTTCTAGGGTTTTTATGGTTTTAGGTCTCACATTTATGTCTTTAATACATCTTGAATTAATTTTTGTATAACATGTAAGGAAGGGATCCAGTTTCAGCTTTCTACATATGGCTAGCCAGTTTTCCCAGCACCATTTATTAAATAGGGAATCCTTTCCCCATTTCTTGTTTTTGTCAGGTTTGTCAAAGATCAGATAGTTGTAGATGTGTGGTATTATTTCTGAAGGCTCTGTTCTGTTCCATTGGTCTATATCTCCCTTTTGGTACCAGTACCATGCTGTTTTGGTTACTGTAGCCTTATAGTATAGTTTGAAGTCAGGTAGCATGATGCCTCCAGCTTTGTTCTTTTGGCTTAGGATTGTCTTGGCAATGCAGGCTCTTTTTTGGCTCCATATGAACTTTAAAGTATTTTTTTCCAATTCTGTGAAGAGTCATTGGTAGCTTGATGGGGATGGCATGGAATTTATAAATTTCCTTGGGCAGTATGGCCATTTTCACAATATTGATTCTTCCTATCCATGAGCATGGAATGTTCTTCCATTTGTTTGTGTCCTCTTTTATTTCATTGAGCAGTGGTTTGTAGTTCTCCTTGAAGAGGTCCTTCACATCCCTTGTAAGTTGGATTCCTAGGTATTTTATTCTCTTTGAAGCAACTGTGAATGGGAGTTCACTCATGATTTGCCTCTCTGTTTGTCTCTTATTGGTGTATAGGAATGCTTGTGATTTTTGCACATTGATTTTGTATCCTGAGACTTTGCTGAATTTGCTTATCAGCTTAAGGAGATTTTGGGCTGAGATGATGGGGTTTTCTAAATATACAATCATCTGCAAACAGGGACAATTTGACTTCCTCTTTTCCTAATTGAATACCCTGTATTTCTTTCTCATGCCTGATTGCCCTGGCCAGAACTTCCAACACTATGTTGAATAGGAGTGGTGAGAGAGGGCATCCCTCCTCTTGTGCCAGTTTTTAAAGGGAAAGCTTCCAGTTTTTGCCTATTCAGTATGGTATTGGCTGTGGGTTTGTCATACATAGCTCTTATTATTTTGAGTTATGTCCCACCAATACCTAGTTTATTGAGAGTTTTTAGCATGAAGGCTGTTGAATTTTGTCAAAGGCTTTTTCTGCATCTATTGAGATAATCATGTGGTTTTTGTCTTTGGTTCTGTTTATAAGATGGATTACATTTATTGATTTTCATATGTTGAACCAACCTTGCACCCCAGGGATGAAGCCAACTTGATCGTGGTGGATAAGCTTTTTGATGTGCTGCTGGATTCGGTTTGCCAGTATTTTATTGAGGATTTTTGCATCGATGTTCATCAGGGACATTGGCCTAAAATTCTCTTTTTTTGTTGTGTCTGCCAGACTTAGGTATCAGGATGATGCTGGCCTTATAAAATGAGTTAGGGAGGATTCCCTCTTTTTCTATGATTGGAATAGTTTCAGAAGGAATGGTACCAGCTCCTCTTTGTACCTCTGGTAGAATTTGGCTGTGAATCTGTCTGGCCCTGGAATTTTTTTGGTTGGTAGGCTATTAATTATTGCCTCAATTTCAGAACCTGTTATTGGTCTATTCAGGGATTCAACTTCTTCCTGGTTTAGTCTTGGGAGAGTGTATGTGTCCAGGAATTTATCCATTTCTTCTAGATTTTCTAGTTTATTTGCGTAGAGGTGTTCATAATATTCTCTGATGGTAGTTTGTATTTCTGTGGGATCGGTGGTGATATACCCTTTATCATTTTTTATTGCATCTATTTGATTCTTCTCTCTTTTCTTATTAGTCTTGCTAGCGGTCTATCAATTTTGTTGATCCTTTCAAAAAACCAGCTCCTGGATTCTTTGATTTCTTGAAGGGTTTTTTGTGTCTCTATCTCCTTCAGTTCTGCTATGATCTTAGTTATTTATTGCCTTCTGCTAGCTTTTGAATGTGTTTGCTCTTGCTTCTCTAGTTCTTTTAATTGTGATGTTAGGGTGTCAATTTTAGATCTTTCCTGCTTTCTCTTGTGGGCATTTAGTGCATAAATTTACTTCTACACACTGCTTTAAATGTGTCCCAGAGATTCTGGTATGTCATGTCTTTGTTCTCGTTGGTTTCAAAGAACATCTTTATTTCTGCCTTCATTTCCTTATTTACCCAGTAGTAATTCAGGAGCAGGTTGTTCAGTTTCCATGTAGTTGAGTAGTTTTGAGTGAGTTTCTTAATCCTGAGTTCTAATTTGATTGCACTGTGGTCTGAGAGACAGTTTGTTATAATTTCTGTTCTTTTACATTTGCTGAGGAGAGCTTTACTTCCAACCATGTGGTCAATTTTGGAATGAGTGCAATGTGGTGCTGAGAAGAATGTATATTCTGTTGATTTGGGATGGAGAGTTCTGTAGATGTCTATTAGGTCTGCTTGGTGTAGAGCTGAGTTCAAGTCCTGGATATTTTTATTAACTTTCTGCCTCGTTGATCTGTCTAATGTTGACAGTAGGGTGTTAAAGTCTCCCAATATTATTGTTTGGGAGTCTAAGTCTCTTTATAGGTCTCTAAGGACTTGCTTTATGAATCTGGGTGCTCCTGTATTGGGTGCATATATATTTAGGATAGTTAGCACTTCTTGTTGAATTGATCCCTTTACCATTATGTAATGGCCTTCTTTGTCTCTTTTGATCTTTGTTGGTTTAAAGTCTCTTTTATCAGAGACTAGGATTGCAACCCCTGCTTTTTTTTGTTTTCCATTTGCTTGGTAGATCTTCCTCCATCCCTTTATTTTGAGCCTATGTGTGTCTCTGCATGTGAGATGGGTCTCCTGAATACAGCACACTGATGGGTCTTGATTTATCTGATTTGCTAGTCTGTGTCTTTTAATTGGGGCATTTAGCCCATTTACATTTAAGGCTAATATTCTTATGTGTGAATTTGATCCTGTCATTATGATATTAGCTGGTTATTTTGCTCGTTAGTTGATGCAGTTTCTTCCTAGCCTCGATGGTCTTTACAATTTGGCATGTTTTTGCAGTGGCTGGTACCAGTTGTTCCTTTCCATGTTTAGTGCTTCCTTCAGGAGCTCTTGTAAGGCAGGCCTACTGGTGACAAAAATCTCTCAGCATTTGCTTGTCTGTAAAGGATTTTATTTCTCCTTCACTTATGAAGCTTAGTTTGGCTGGATATGAAATTCTGGGTTGAAAATTCTTTTCTTTAAGAATGTTGAATATTGGCCCCCACTCTCGTCTGGCTTGTAGAGTTTCTGCAGAGAGATCCACTATTGGTCGGATGGGCTTCCCTTTGTACGTAACCTGACCTTTCTCTCTGGCTGCGCTTGACATTTTTTTCTTCATTTCAACCTTGGTGAATCTGACAATTATGTGTCTTGGGGTTGCTCTTCACGAGGAGTATCTTTGTGGCATTCTCTGTGTTTCCTGAATTTGAATGTTGGCCTGCCCTGCTAGGTTGGGGAAGTTCTCCTGGATAATATCCTGCAGAGTGTTTTCCAACTTGGTTCCATTCTCCCCGTCACTTTCAGGTACACCAATCAAAAGTAGATTTGGTCTTTTCACATAGTCCCATATTTCTTGGAGGCTTTGTTTGTCTCTTTACTCTTTTTTCTCTAAACTTCTCTTCTTGCTTCATTTCATTCATTTGATCTTCAATCACTGACCCCCTTCTTCCACTTGATCGAATCGGCTACTGAAGCTTGTGCATGTGTCACGTAGTTCTCGTGCCATGGTTTTCAGCTCCATCAGGTCATTTAAGGTCTCCTCTATGCTGTTTATTCTAGTTAGCCATTTGTCTAATCTTTTTTCTAGGTTTTTAGCTTCTTTGTGATGGGTTCGAACATCCTCCTTTAGCTGGGAGAAGTTTGTCATTACCGATTTTCTGAAGCCTAATTCTGTCAACTCATCAAAGTCATTCCCCATCCAGCTTTGTTCCGTTGCTGGCGAGGCGCTGTGATCCTTTGGTGTAGATGAGGCACTCTGATTTTTAGAATTTTCAGCTTTTCTGCTCTGGTTTCTCCCCATCTTTGTGATTTTATCTACCTTTGGTCTTTGATGATGGTGACCTACAGATGGGGTTTTGGTGTGGATGTCTTTTTTGTTGATGTTGATGCTATTCCTTTCTGTTTGTTAGTTTTCCTCCTAACAGTCAGGACCCTCAGCTGCAGGTCTGTTGGAGTTCGCTGGAGGTCCACTCCAGACCTTGTTTGCCTGGGTATCACCAGCAGAGGCTGCAGAACAGCAAAGATTGCAGAACAGTAAATGTTGCTGCCTGATCCTTCCTCTGGAAGCTTTGTCTCAGAGGGGCACCTGGCTGTATGAGGTGTCAGTTGGCCCCCACTGGGAGGTGCCTCCCAGTTAGGCTACTGAGGGGTCAGGGACCCACTTGAGGAGGCAGTCTGTCCGTTCTCAGATCTCAAACTCCATGCTGGGACAACCACTACTCTCTTCAAAGCTGTCAGACAGGGATGTTTAAGTCTGCAGAAGTTTCTGCTGCCTTTTGTTCAGCTATGCCCTGCCCCCAGAGGTGGAGTCTACAGAGGCAGGCAGGCCTCGTTGAGCTGTGGTGGGCTCCACCCAGTTCGAGCTTCCTGGCCACTTTGTTTACCTCATCAAGCCTCAGCAATGGTGGACACCCCTCCCCCAGCCTTGCTGCTGCCTCGCAGTTTGATCTTGGACTGCTGTGCTAGCAGTGAGCAAGGCTCCATGGGTGTCGGACCCGCCGAGCCATGCGCGGGATATAATCTCCTGGTCTGCCATTTGCTAAGACCACTGGAAAAGCACAGTATTAGGGTGGGAATGTCCCGATTTTCCAGGTACCATCTGTCACAGCTTCCCTTGGCTAGGAAAGGGAATTCCCCGACCCCTTGTGCTTCCCGGGTGAGGCGATGCCCCACCCTGCTTTGGCTCACACTCCGTGGCTGCACCCACTGTCCAACAAGTCCCAGTGAGATGAACCCAGTGCCTCAGTTGGAAATGCAGAAATCACCCATCTTCTGTGTCACTCATGCTGGGAGCTGTAGACTGGAGCTGCTTCTATTCTTGGAACCCAAGCCATTTCTTTTCTAACAGAAAAACGACTTGAAGGGCCAGTCTGGCAAGCTTTGATATGCAAATGCTGGCTATTAGAAATTGTCCACCCAATATGGCAACTCCTGCCTTCTTCTTCCTGTCCCGGTGTGTGCCACGTGTCATGGCTGCCTCCGGATAACACCATGTGTTCAGAACATCATGGCAACCTGCATTTGCATATTAAAGGGCTAAGGTGGGTGGACCAGGTGTTTTGCAGGCTACATAAATGACACACCTGGTCAAACCAATCCCCTGGGCCCTATGCAAACCAGACACTGCCCCCTGCAGCATCCCAATATAAGCAACCACTTTTCTGCCACACACCAAGTTTCTGTTTGTTCTAATCCCCCCTCCCTCTGTCTCTGTATGGGGGAGCTGTTTTCTTCTTCCTTCCTTCTTGCCTAATAAACTCTCCACTCCTTAAAACCATTACATGTGTGTCTGTGTCATTTTATCTAAACTGGTGCGAGACCAAGGACCCTGGTGTTCCTCCAGTCATCGGAGCCGTATCATTTTGGTGCATTGGCCAGGAATTCATTCATCGGAGCGGTGAGTATGGAGCAAATCTCAATCTCAGATCTGTCCTTTAATCTCAAGGCTGTCTGCCGGCTATCCTGTTGCAAAACCTTCCTTCTTTCCTGGTTTCTCTGTCTGCGATCTCTTACTTTCTGTGTGTTGAATGTGTGGGAATTTTTACAGCCTAGAGAAGTAATCCTGTTAGGCAAGATCAGGAAATGCTGTAGACCTGGGATATAGCTCAGGAAAATGCCATTGCAACCTTCTAGGAACAGAGTTCTCCCCTTTTCCACCTCCAACAGTGAGATTACCGGCTAGTAATCCTCTGGCGAGCCCAAGGTATTTCTAAGCCAACAGCGCCGCCTAGTGGAAATAGAAATCCTCTTCATAGGACATATTGCTGGTCCTTTGCTGTACACTGCAATCTCCTTTCACACCACTAAAAATCAGGCTCTAGGCTACTTGTGTAAACAGGAGAGCTCTGTTTTCAACAGTTAGGAGTAAGATGTCTTCTGTGGCCAAATTTTAGTCTCAATGCGTCCCATCAGCAGGGAAAACGGCCATTCGGTTCCTATGTATTTTTAAGGCACCTACTCTGTCTCCAAGACAGTACTTAATTAGTAAGGGGATTTTAAGTACGGAAGTTAACCAGAACCATTTTTCTAGGAGTAAATGCTTTAGCACGGGGCATAATAGCAGGCAATCTAGCACACTACCTCCATTAAAGGAGCCTTGCTCAAAGACGACACAGTCTCTCTGGAGATACGTTTTTTGGGGAGCCAGGCAGATCACACAGGTTTAGGAAGTCAAAGGGAAATCACAGAAGGTGGATGACCTAAGGTTGCGCAGTAAAGCACGGTTAGTCCCATCACTTAGTTTATCCAGTTCCATGGCTTGGAGGACCATGTCTTCAACCATGGGCGGCATATTTAACTTGGTGGCAGAACCCAGGAACCAGGGAGGGAAAACAGTCGAACACTCCCTGTCTTTTCCTCCACCCTAGGTCATACGGAAAGGAAGGAGACTAAGAGGATGCTTTTATTCTCACTTCTTTTTCTAGATGGGTAACAGATTTTCTTCAGCTTGCACCCCTCTGGAGTGCACTCTACAGCACTGGAACACTTCCTTAACCTAAGGACTTTAAAGAGAAAAGCAACTCATTTTCTTTTATACAAGGGCATGGCATTTTTACTAAACCTTTGCCAAGCACTGTAAGATCAACCCAGCTCTTTTAGCAATCATATTGGGCAGTCCCAGGGAAAACAGTTCCCCAAAAGTTAAAGAAGCAACTTCCAGGGAACCATTTGAGGATCCCCCTTATTTGGGCCCCCTTCAAGTTCCCGTCTCATAACAAAACCTTAGGCAAATAAAAGATGACTTAGGCCAATTTTCTAACAACCATGATTGGTACATAAAAGCTTTCCAAAATTTAACTCAGGTATTTCACCTCACATGCAGGGATGTTACTCTCCTCCTAAACCAGACCCTCACTGCAGTTGAAGAGCAGGTAGCTCTGTAAGCAGCAGATAATTTCAGAGATGAGCAATATATCTCCTATAATACACCAAAAGGGAAGAAAGCAGGTAGGGAAAGTGAAAAAATATCAGAAACACCATTCCCAATAGGGAGGGAAGCAGTTTCAGTAAATAACCCTAACTGGAACACCAATAAGCTCAGGAAACAAATGGAAAAGGAAGCATTTTTTTTTTTTTTTTTTTTTTTTTTGAGAGAGTCTCGCTCTGTTGCCCAGGCTGGAGTGCAATGGCACAATCTCGGCTCACTACAAGCTCCGCCTCCCAGGTTCAAGCGATTCTCCTGCCTCAGCCTCCTGAGTAGCTGGGACTACAGGCACCTGCCACCACACCTGGCTAATTTTTGTATTTTTAGTTTACAAAAGAGTAGTTTCTTCTCTCTCCGACTGGAATATTACCGTGATGACTATAGCTTCAGCCTTCATCAGCAACCGTGAGGAAAAGACAGAGGCCTTGGGTCTAATATCTTTGAGACACTGAATTGACACCAATGCTTTCATTCGACTTCTCATTTTGTGAGAAAAATATTTAAAGAAGTATCTGGAGAAGTCCACTGTTAACGTGTTTTCTGTTACATGCAGGAAAACATAAAACTCTAATTGATACTAGGTAGATATAGAGAATGCACAGACATATATATTTTCCCCCCAGAAGGCAGAGCGTGAGCAAGCTAAATATAGCTAGGTATTAGGTCAGTATGATGAAAAATGTAATGATGGAGCTTTACAAAAACTGAATGGGCTGGCTAAAAACATAGCGACTCCTGTACTAGCCTCTCAAGTAGCTGGGACTACAGGCGCATGCCACCACACCCAGCTAATTTTTGTATTTTTAGTATACAAAAGAGTAGTTTCTTCTCTCTCCAACTGGAATATTACCATTATGGCTATAGCTTCGGCCTTCATCAGCAACCATGAGGAAAAGACAGAGGCCTTGGGTCTAATGTCTTTGAGACACTGAATTAACACCAACGTTTTGATTCAACTTCTCATTTTGTGAGAAAAATATTTAAAGAAATGTTTGGAGAAGTCCACTGTTCGTGTGGGCAGGGCAACACGCCAGCTACACTAAATGAGATCTGCCTAGGAAGCAGTGGAAAAAAATTATGTGAACTCCTAAGGGTTATTCCTTTAAACTCTAAGATGCTATGGCTGAACTTTTTTTAGAGTAATTGTATTTGCCTATTTCATGTTATGAGAGGAATTTGCCCTAAGGAAGTAGAACTATTTTAGCTCAGAATGGTAATATTTCTTCTAAAACTTATTAGGAAACTAGAAGGAATGTTTTGTGGATGTAGTTTTCCTAAAGGTCATGCAGAACTTCCAGGTATTAACAGATTTTGAAAGATGAATAATAGCCATTTTAGTGGTTATTTATTTTTTTGACATGGAGTCACCCAGGCTGGAGGGCAGTGGCACAATCTCGGCTCACTGCAACCTCCGCCTCCTGGGTTCAAGTGATTCTCCTGCTTCAGCCTCCTGAGTAGCTGGGATTACAGGCACCTGCCACCACACCCAACTAATTTTTGTATTTTTAGTAGAGATGGGGTTTCGCCATCTTGGCCAGGCTAGTCTTGATCTCCTGACCTCACGTGATCCACCTGCCTTGGCCTCCCAAAGGGCTGGGATTACAGGTGTGAGCCACTGTGTCCAGCTCATATCATTTTCAAAGGACTTGTGTAGCATACAGAATGGTTTCTAAATAATATCATCCATAATATTAGTTGATAGTCCATAATTCTAAATCCAGCATTTTTCAAAGCATTACCAATGAACAGGAACTTTTAAGATAAAGCTAAATATAGAAAAATAAGAAAAGTGAATTACTATAAATTACTATTCATATTATAATTTGAAATTTTGTTAATATTGTCTAAGACAAATCATCCTTTTGGGATAGTTTTTTTCACACTGTTCAAACTACCCTTCATCCTATAACGGCAGACATGACCTAATGATTCTCATTTTTAATCAACAGTGTTGTCAGACATTTCAATGATTCTGAACATAATATTATGACATTCAGGGCCAGAGAGCAAGCATTCTCTACTTGCTCTCAGCTGAAAGCAAAGAGGTTCTCAAGAGCTGTCAGCCTTTCTCCTTTATGTTCTGAAAGCCTCCTAAACTTGTCAGTTTACTTCCATTACACTTTTATTGAAAACAATGAAAGAAAAAAGTTACTACAGCGTTTATACTTTTAAAGTGAATGTCTTTTCTAATAAGGTAGAAATATCACAGAACCATTGAATGTTGGAATCAGAAGCATGTTTGGGATATCATCAAGTACAATAGCCACATCCTGACTATGAGGAAAGCTGGAGGGGCTAAAGGACCTCTCAAAGCTACACATGTAGAGTCAGCAGCAGAGCAGAGCTTAAAGCAGCAAGGGACTCTTACGGCCATCAGTAATCACACTCTTGCTTAACATGCAAATGAATAAAGCTATTTTTATAAAATCCTCCCCATATATTGGCAGTAACTCTAAATTCTAGTCATTTTTTAACCATTAGAGAATAACATTAGAAGCATCAGTAGTTAATGGTAATAATAATTTCCGTTTTATATGGGGTTTTATGGTTCACAAATATATTTTATAAAATAAGTTTCTAATATTTCATTTTCTTATATTGAGGGCTTTTAAAAGAACCAAAAACCTATTTTATGAAAATTTCATATTTAAAATTATAGTTGAGAATAATGGAAGATTTTTCCCATTATCTTTGCTCTCCTAGATAGTAACCAGATAAATGACTTCCCAGAGAAATGCATAGTCATATAAGATAAAACGTCTTTTTCTCTCCATTTTACTCAGAGTTTGATGATGAACTATGACTGGATATTGAAATAATCATTCTTTTATCCTTTGTAGTAAGGCTTACTTTGTCCAGTGGCAACATGATCAGACAAGCAGCTCTCAGATGACATGTGACAATATTAAATTCAATCTTAGCAAGCAGCTTCTCAATTTCACACTTGTGGTAGCTGGATTAACCCAATTATTTTTTGGAGGTTAAGGGAAACTTTTACATTTGCAGAATACCATCCTTCAGAAACCAGAAAGTAGGATTTCGTTAACTCAAAGAATTTTATGGAGATGGAAAGATCAGTTGGTATTTATTAAATTTTAGCACAGAATCAGATGGAGGGTTTAGGAAGAAGTAGATATGATTACCTAATAATTCACTTTGAGTTCTTCACTTTGATCCTCAAAAATGTGTGAAACTTGGGACTTTTACTTAGCATACCTTTCGGGTAAAATATTTTCATTGTACCAGTTCCAGGCTCTTGGTTCTAGCACAAAACCGCTGCTACACACACATACACATACACACACACACACACACACACATATATAGATATATATACAAATATATATATATGCTACCTATATATACACCTGCTACATGTGTGTATATATATTTACACATGCACATATCAGGTGTGTATAAATGTAGCATGTATATATACATACACACATGCACACAGGCACACACATACTTGTTACATATATAATTACACATGCACATATCAGGTGTATATAAATGTAGCATGTATATATACATACACACATGCACACAGGCACACACATACTTGTTACATATAGTCAGGTGCTGCATGATGACATTTTGCTCAAGAACAGATCACATATATGAGGGTGGTTCCATAGATTATGATGGAGCTGGAAAACTCTTATAACCTAGTGGCATTGTTGTCATTGTGACATTGTAGTGCAATTACTTAATTTTTAAAACAAATTTAGTGTAACCTAAGTGTACAGTATTTATAAGGCCTACAGTAATGCATAGTAATGTCCTAGGCCTTCACATTTGCTTACTACTCATTCACTGATTCACCCAGAGCAAATTCTACTCCTGCAAGCTCCACGGTAAGTGCCTTACACAGGGGTAGCATTTTTTAATCTTTTGTATCATATTTTGCTGTACCTTTTCTATGTTTAGATATACAAATACTTACCATTACATTGTAATTGCCTACAGTGCTGAGTACCAAGTTTCACCAAGTATTAGATCTACAAATACTTACCACTGCATTATAATTGCCTACATGTTGAGTACCGTTTCACCAAGTTGGACAGGCTAGTTTCAAACGCCCGACCTCAGGTGATCTGCCTGCCTTAGCCTCCCAAAGTGCTGGAATTACAGTGAGAGCCACCGCACCTGGCCAGGAAGCCCTTTTTAATACGCGTTTTAGAAGGCCTATGGAAAACCAGGGCCAAACCTCTCAATTACTCTAAACTGTCTATAATAGACCAAAAGCCAGATGAGAATCCTGTGGCCTTTATAGAAAGGCTGATAGAGGCACTAATAGAACACTCTTCCTTTTATCCCCTGATTCAGTGGAGAGACAGCTCATCCTGAAGGACAGTTTTATTACACAGGCAGCTCCCAATATTAGAAGAAAACTACAGAAGCAAGCTATGGGACCAAATAGCACCTTAGAGAACCTCCTGAAGGGGGCCACTTCGGTCTTTTATAATAGGGACCAGGAGGAGGCCCAAAAGAAAGAGAGAAAGCTCAGGGGAAGGACAAAGGCTCTAGCAGCAGCTTTGCAGGCTGGCAAAGTCCAGGAGCCCCAAGATGCATCCATTAGTTGCTATCAGTGTGGCAGGCCAGGGTATTTTAAAGAGGAATGCCCAGGCAGCAAGACGAAGCCACCTCAACCCTGTCCATCCAGTGGCAAAAACCAGTGGAGACAGAACTGTCCCCAGATATGGAGGTCACTGGGTTCAGAGCCAGTCTCACAGATGGTCCCACAGGACTGATGGGTCCTGGGGCCCAAACCTCAGCTCCAGCAGCTCAAACTGCCATCATAGCATAGGAGCCCCAGGTGATACTGGACATTGAAGAAAAGGAAGCAGACCTCCTTCTAAACACTAGACCCAGTCTCTCTCTTTTCTCCTCTCTAAGCCAGGCCTCCTCTCTTCCTATAGCGCAACTATAAGGGGCATTTCAAGAAAAACTCTAATCCAATATTTTTCTCAACCTTAGTTGTGGTTAGGAGGACCTATTTACAAATGCTTCCAAGCCATTGTCATAGTAGCTCTACTAGTCAGAAAAGCCTCCTAGTTAACCCTAGGAAATAATTTAACTGTTTACACCCCACATAATGTGGCAGGATCACTGTCCTCTAGGGGGAGCTCTTAGCCGGCAAACAGCCAGTGAAGCAAGAGGTACATAAAGCAGGAGAGGCAGTAGTCACTCTCCCCAAACACAAGCGCTCAATTGGCTGAGCTAAGAGCTCTTACAAGAGCACCTAAATTAAGCAAGGGAAAGGTGGCTAACATTTATACTGACTCCAAGTATGCTTTCCTGATTTTCCATGCTCATGCTGCCATTTGAAAGGAAAGGCATTTTCTTAACACTAATATATCTCCTATAAAATATTACCAGGAAATTAGCAGGTTATCCTCAGTTTTTCTTTCATGAGAGACAGCAGGGATGTATTGTAGGGAACACTGAAAGGGAACAGATAAGGTAGCAGAAGGAAACAGATTAGCTGATCAGGCAGCCAAGTCAAAGGCAAGGAAGCCTCAAGGCACTAACACACTTTGAGCCCTTCTAATCTAGGAGGGCTCCATTTTAAAAGAAATTAAACCTCAGTATTCCTCTGCAGAAACAGAATAGGCCACTTCTCAGCCGCATACTTTTCAGCCCTCAGGACGGCGACAGTCAGGATGGCAAACTCTATTTGCCAGCCTGCAGCCGATGAAAGTCCTTAAAATCCTTCACCGAGCTTTTTACTTGGGAATGGATAAAACTTACCAATGTGTTCAGAGATTTCTTTTCAGGCAGAAAAGCTCTAAATTGGTTAAGCATGTAACCTCTCTAAGCTCACTTCCCACAAGAATTAACACAACCAGCAGAAGCCCAACCCCAGGAAATAAAACCTTTATTTAACCCAAGAAATGTGGTATTAATAGAACATCTTAAGTTGAAAATTATAAAAGATAAGTGAGTAGGCTGAGCACATTGGCTCACGCCTGTAATCCCAGCACTTTGGGAGGACGAGGCAGGCAGATCACGAGGTCAGGAGTTCAAGACCAGCCTGGCCAACATGGTGAAACCCTGTCTCTACTAAAGATACCAAAGAAAATTAGCCGGGTGTGGTGGCACGTGCCGTAATCCCAGCTACTCAGGAGGCTGAGGCAGAAGAATCGCTTGAACCCGGGAGGCGGAGGTTGCAGTGAGTGGAGATCGCGCCACTGCACTCCAGCCTCGGCGACTGGGAGAGACTCTGTCTCCAAAAAAAAAAAAAAAAAAAAAAAGTGAGGGCTACTCATCTTACTCAGTCCCACCTTTACCCCAACAGATACTTTTTTTCATTTCTATCCTTTCCTGTCAAAATTTGCTACCAAATAGTAGAACTTCTTTTTAACGCATTATTTACAGGGAAATTTTAATTATACATGGGATTGCATTTGTAACTTTGTAAATCCCCAGAGGGAAATGTTATATCTTGGCAAGTAAAATTTTCAATGAAAATTATTTACTATGCCACTCTTGTGGAAATTGTTACAGTTACGCTACTATTCGCAATAGAACTATACACTGTGGCACCCACAATGTGGAATTCTGGTTGTAAAATTCTAATTGCCATAATATTTTGCCTGATTATCATCCTTATAACAGGATTAATTGCAGGAAAAATTTAGTCAAAGTTGTTTTACTTATAGCAGGAGTAATAGTTACGGATAAAAAGCAAACATAGAAGTTTTACTATCATTACGTTTAATAGGACTTTTTACTAAAGGTTGGTAATATAATGCACTCTAAGCTATGAAAAAAAGGTTATAAAGAAATACATTTTATATAAGAAAGGATTTTGTGGCCAGGTGCGATGGCTCATGCCTATAATCCCGGCACCTTGGGAGGCCGAGGCGGGCGGATCACTTGAGATCAGGAGTTCGAGACCAGCCTGGCCAACATGGTGAAACCCCAGCTCTACCAAAAATATAAAAGCTAGCTGTGTGGTGCCTGTAATCCCAGCTACTCAGGGGAGGCTGAGACAGAAGAATTGCTTGAACGTGGGAGGTGGAGGCTGCAGTGAACTGAGATCACACCACTGCACTCCAGCCTGGGTGACAGAGCAAGATCCTGTCTCAAATAAATAAATAAATAAATAAATAAATAAATAAATAAATGATTTTGTGAGTTGATGGGTGCAGCAAACCAACATGGCTCATGTATACCTATGTAACAAACCTGCACATTGTGCACAAGTATAATTTTTAAAAAATTTTACAAAAAAAAAAAGGATTTTGTATGGTAAATACTTGTCATAAAAGGAAATGACTGGTTTTTTAAAGGAAGGATGTTTAGAATGAGTCAGAAAAATGTATGTTGTAAGAGAGTCTGTGAAAATCATGAAAAAATTTAATCATTAAAGGAAAGGAATTGTCAAAATTAATGCTAAAGTTACTTTAGACATCCAATAACGTATTTCTCTCAATCATACTGCAAGTTATAAAAATGGCCTAAGCCTAAAGTTATTCTCTAATGGCAAGTCAAGGGAGAAATGCATGCTGTTCTCAAGGAAAATGTTACTTTTATGTTAACGTTTCTGGTAATGTACAGCGACATCTAGTGTAGACAATCCAGTATTGCAATCCATTGGTGTAACTAATAGGTACCAAACTCTAAGTCAGTTATGGTCTACAGGACCCCCACTGATGGTGGTAATCTTAATGCTCTTATTCTAACACTATATTTTAAACCTTCTTGTAAAACGTATCTCTTTTCGCCTAGAAGCAATTAAACTCCAAATGGTACTGCAAGCAGAACCACACATGGACACGCCATTCTTCCAAGAATCCTTAAATCAACCTCAGGAGAAGGCCCAACTGCTGCTCCCCTGCATGCTCCTTTTCAGCAGGAAGTGGCCACAAAGAATCATCGTCCAACACCCCCTAACAGCAGTTAGGTTTGCTTCTCTTGAGGGGGGAAATAATACAGGTGTTACTTAAAAAAGTTTTTTTAGGCAGAGAGAGAGGCTAAAAGGAGTTCTTGGTAAGGCTTTTTCTGTTAATAAAAGCAAACCCCGAACCATTTCTTTTCTAACAGAAAAACCGCTTGAAGGGCCGGGCCAGGAAGCTTTGATACGCAAATGCCGCCCGTTAGAAATGGTCCACCCAATATGGCGACTCCTGCCTTCTTCTTGTCACCATGTGTGCCAAGTGTCATGGCTACCTCCAGATAATACCATGTGTTCAGAACATCATGGCGATCCGTATTTGCATATTAAAGAGCTAAGGTGGGAAATTTCGCCAGGTTTTTCACAGGCAATGTAAATAACATACCTGGTCAAACCAATCCCCTGGGCCCTATGCAAACCAGACACCACCTCCTCCAGCATCCCAATATAAGCAACCACTTTTCCTGCCACACACGGGGTTTCTCGTCGTTCGAATCCCCCCTCCCTTTGTCTCTGTACCGGGGAGCTGTTTTCTTCCTTGCTTCTCTCTTGCCTAATAAACTCTCCGCTCCTTAAAACTACTCCACACGTGTCTGTGTCATTTTATCTAAACTGGCGCGAGACCAAGGACCCTGGTGTTCCTTCAGTCATCGGAGCCATGTCATTTACACCTCTCTTGGTCCTATTCTTGTCTCACTCTCCTTTGCCTTCCATACACACAGGCACATAAAAATGAGACTTTTAAAAAATTAAGTTTATACTCACATCTCTGTTACCTCCCACAACAATAACTAGATCGTGAGCTCCTTGGGAAAAAGTCTGGGTCTCGGGGGCCAAATTTTTTTCCAGTGCCTCATGTACACGAGGTCATAAACAAATGCCCTTCCTGAGGCTACCCAAGCTGCTAAAAGCCTCCCTTGATTGCCAGGACAGCAGCATTTGTTTTCATTTGAGTGTTCCAAGTAGCAGCTGACTAAAAGCAGCACAGAAGAATTAAACTTCCAAACAAAACCTCCCATATTCCCTTCTTTGATATGACAGTTCAGAGCTTGTCCACTCATGCCCTGTGACTTCACAAATGTGTTACACAGGACACTCCAGAAGTTGGGTTAATCTTCTGCTTTTTACAAAGTGCAGGAAGTGGCAAATTAGACATCATCTTTGAAAAAACTGTGTCTTAAATGGCACATAAACACAAAAGATACAAGGGGAATGATGTTTATAGACATCTACTGATATCTGAAGAGCCAGATTCAGATGATAATAAATTAAGTACCCTTTTGTACACATTCACATGGTGATCATGACAAGTTATTGCCTACTATTTAAAATACATAATAATAAACCATGTACTCTTTCAAATGGACCTTTACAGTTTATGACCTTTTGAACTTTCACTCATCTGAATGTCACAAGGACTTGTGATAGGAACAGCAGGTATTACACTCGTATGCTCATTTGGGGCTTAGAGAAGTTAAATGCTTTGCTCAGGATCATAAAGCCCTAAGTGACAAAGCAAGCTGTTGGTGGGGGAGGGGCGGGGGGGCGGCTCACGCCTGTAATCCCGGCACTTTGGGAGGCCGAGGCGGGCGGATCACGAGGTCAGGAGATTGAGACCATCCTGGCTAACACAGCGAAACCCCGTCTCTACTAAAAATACAAAAAATTAGCCAGGCGTGGTGGTGGGCACCTGTAGTCCCAGCTACTTGAGAGGCTGAGGCAGGAGAATGGCGTGAACCCGGGAGGCGGAGCCTGCAGTGAGCTGAGATCGTGCCACTGCACTCCAGCCTGGGCGACAGAGCGAGACTCCATCTCAAAAAATAAAAATAAAAAGCAAGCACCAGAACTCTCAAAAGTTCGACTGATCCTGACCCACTGCTCTGAATATTATCAATCAGAGCTGTGATTATTTTAAACACTGTCATTATTTTAAACGGAAACCTCTCCTATTACACAGGTTTTGCTGCACTTAAGATGAAAAGGTTTAAAAATCAGGGTAGGGAGGGGAAGTAGGTCATGAAATGTATCCCAAACTCTACCCCACTGGCAGCACATTCTCTCTGCCAGCTGATCTGCTGGGCTGGTTAGCAGGAGTTTTGCCTACATAAACAGTGTCTGAGAAAATTAGCATCAGTACAAAAGCCCAAGCCTTTACAATAAGGACAATTTCTACAGCCAGTAGTTTCAAGTTAATGCAGCTCAGTCCCTCCTTGGCCTGAGGCATTACAAGACAGGATGGCCTGCCAGTTCCAGAGGCAAGAAGGAAGTCACTGGCTGTTGGGACAGAATCTGGGAAAACACACAATGGAGTGTTTAAATCTACACCAGGAGCAGCTTCTTGTTTTAACGGATCCAAGACGTTGGAACAAGTCACTCCTTCCAAACGTTTAGTCTATTGAAAGATCCACAATTACAACAAACTTGTTTAATGTCTAACAAAGTCTCAATCAAAATATCTATACAACAATTGAGATCTTCCATATAATGATCTTCCTGAGGAGAATTTACAGATAAAATACTCCACCACAAGGAAAAGGGTCCATATTTATTTTTTACCTACTCATTCAAACATTTAAAAAATTTTTTAAACTATATGTATTAAATATACCTTAAAGGGGCACAACTGCAGGCTTCCTACATGCATATATTGTGTAGTGGTGAAGTCTGTGCACCCATCATCCACATAGTGAACACTGTACCAAACAGGTCATTTTTCAACCCTCACCCCCGTTTGAAATGCTTGTTCCCTGGTGCCATAAAGAAATAGCACTTGAACATAAATTTAATTTACTCAGCAAGGCCATTTTTACTTCCTGCAGAAAGGGTACACTTGCCAGAAGTTTTGCCACAAGAGTACACCGAACAAAGGAGGCAGGGTCATTTATAACCTGACGCATCCACCCTACTGCTGTGTCCGCTTTCCATTGGCTGGAATGGGACCTCACATTCTGTATTTGTCCCGACTGGCTAGCAACTTAGAACTTTTAAAAAGAGGCACAGGTACAGGAGAACAAAGGAAGGAGGAAGGAAGGAGGAAGTAACTTGTGGAATGCTGAGAAAGGTAAAAACACCTTTAAATAAGGAAGAGGGACAGCTATGACCTAATGCTTGCTTGGACCACTATAAGCATGCCAGGGAAAATATTCAGGCTAAATTGTCGGCTCTAAGAACATGAAGTGTATTGATTTCTTTATTACAGCTAGCAGATATTTAAGAATGTTAGCACAGGTCTTTGAATAAATTTTGCTTTTAAGAGAAGTTACTATTTATTCCTAATTAGACGGGGAGGAAAGTCTTTGAAGAGGAACCTCTACTTTACTTTTTACACCCCCCACCCCCGACCTTTTATAGTCTCCAATGTCTATAATATTCCATTCTGTATGTACCGCACACCCATCGTTTAGCTCCCACTAATTCATTCAGCAAACATTTGAGTGTTGCCCACCAGACACCTAAACACGTACAGATAATACAGGGGTTATTAACACATTATTTTAGCCAGATAGTAAGGGTAAAGGTTCTCGGTGGAAATTTTCCTATAATAAGAAACAACCCCTGAATCATCTCTTTTATAACAGAAAAGGTGGCTTAAAGGGCCAGGCCAGCAAGCTTTGATATGCAAATGCCAGCCATTAGAAACTGGCTTCACTCAATATAGTGATTCCCGCCATCTTCTCCTTGTCACCACTTGTGCCAAGTGTGATGGCCGCCTCCAGATAACACCATGTGTTCAAACATCATAGTGAACCACCTTTGCATTTTACAGGGCTAAGGTGGGAGGGCCAGGTTTTTTGCAGGCTACGTGAATGACACACCTGGTCAAACCAATCTCCTGGGTTTTAAGAACGAATTCTTTTCTTATCTCTATTATTATCATTACTCAATCAAGTTGTCCAGTCCAGGGCTACTCAAAGGATGGTCCAAAAACTGGCAGCATCTGAATGCAAATTATTGGGCCCTAACTCCGCGTACTGAGTTAGAACATCTGGGGCAGACCCAGGAGTTTCTCCAGGTGATTCTTTTACACATTAGAGTTCAGAAACATTGGCCTAGTCAATTAAAGGTGTGAAATAGACTCTCATTAGGCAGTGTTCAATCTTACCGATTTTCTTTGCCAAGGTAATGGGTGAGGCATCTTGGGGCAACACTGCTAAGAGGACGACTTGTAATGACGAAACTCAGGTAGAACATCTGAATGACAGCTGGTGGCCTCTCTCAGGCTTGAATGGTCCCTCCCCTGAACTCCTCCTCAAACTTCAAGACACCACCTCTGTGAAGCCCCCCTCCCCCTACTACTCACTTCTGGACAGACAACTGATCTCTTCATGCTCTCCATGTCAAGTGGAAGGTTTGGTTTGTGTGCAACTTCCCTGTAAACTTGCTGAGGACAGACACCAGGTTGGAGTCATCTCAGTATCCAGGCACCCAGGATGGTGGACAGCCATAAATGGATGGGGAGGAGCATGAGCCCTGCCCCAAATCTCAGGGGACCCATGAGGCATCTACTTTGATGTCACATGACAGCCTACTTTGGGGCCACCACTGGCGTCACAGGCCCCCCCCCCTCCATCAGCCACTCTACACCCTTGCACTTCTCTAACATGGCAGACTCAGGAAACAAGGAACCCGCAAAGTCAAGCCAGGTGGCTGTAGTGGGAGTCATAGATTAAGCGTCGCACTGAGTGGAGACTGACAGCACAGCAGAGTGGTCAGACAGCAGAGTGCCCTAGGCTGCGCAAAGAATGACTGACGCTTAAAAGTGACTAAGGACTTTATTGAGAGCCTGCCTAGCTTGGTGAAATGCCAAGTCCTTGCCCTCAAAAAGCTGTAGAAGAATCCCATGAAATTGAAGCCAAATGTGATGAGACATTTCAGCCTCTAGAAAAAAAAAAAAAAAAAGTATGACACCTATAAGCCTTTACTTGCCAAGATACGTGAACTCAGTGGCGAAATAGAGGGGATATGCATGAACCATAGAGGCTCAGGGCCCTGAGGACCAAGAGGTACCGGGGGAGAAGGAGGGGCAGGAAGAAGGGGATGAGGAAAAAGTGGAAGTGGAGTGACACGGTGAGAATTTCCCACTCTGAGATGTCTGATGACACCAAAAAATAAGAGGAGAGAGAAACTGAAGAGAAAGATCATGAAGAAAACAAAGAACTAAAGCGTTTAAAAAAAATACTGGCAAGCTTTAAAAAGACTCAGGTTTTTAATTAAAATACAATATAAACCTATTCTGATGTTCTTACACTAAAGTAAGGCAATCAGATCCTGTCTTGCCCCAAATTTTCAAATTTTCATTTTGAACACAATAAACGTATCCAAAGGTGAAAATAATGAATTTAACTTGAAACTATTATTTCATGATCTCTTCTGTGAGGATTGCAAATTGAGGCCTTTAAAGGATGTCAAGTAGATATGAAGAATGCCACTTCGAAACCCATACATCACACCATTACACTACACATGGAACACCCAAACCAAGACTGAACACATTCAGCCAGGTGCGTTGGCTCACACCTGTAATCCCAACACTGTGGGAGGCCAAGGCGGGAGCATCACTTGAGGTCAGGAGTTCGAGACCAGCCTGGCCAAGATGGTAAAACCCTGTCTCTAGTAAAAATACCAAAAAAAAAAAAAAAAAAAAATTAGCCAGGCATGATGGCGGATGCCTTTAATCCCAGCTACTCAGGATGCTGAGGCAGGAGAATCGCTTAAACCCATCCAGGAGGCAGAGGTTGTAGTGAGGTGAGATCACACCACTGCACTCCAGCCTGGGCGACAGAATGAGACTGTCTCAAAAAAAAAAAAGACTGAACAACACTCCTTTTTCAAAGAAAAATTATGCCCCATAACTGAGCAGATAAACATATTCCCACTGCTTAACTCTCAAATTCCTTTAGCCCTGAAATTTCCTAGGGCAGAAAAAGCAGAACACAAGGAAAACACTATTTTTCCTAACCCACACATCAGCTTTACATTTCAGGGAGTGCTGGAATAGACAGAGCCTGTGGTGGAGGCCATGGCACTACTGTTAATGACCTCAGGAAAACTGCCACTTCAAGTTCTGAAGAAGGTTCCGAGTTTAGGGAAACAACATGCTTGTGGAGGCCAAAGCAACTCCATCTTGGATGCTCATCTGTCATGTTGACTTATGATTAACCCTAGCCCTGGGAAGGCTTCTAAGACTTCCAGTTTATCTACTGTTTACTGTAAATCCTGCCCTGAGGTCAAAACAACCTTAAATTGACTGTACTTCAATTGTCCTACACATCTCTTCTGAATCACAAATACTCTTTCCCTGTTACGTATAAGTCCTGGGTCTGGGGGGGTAATGGTACAGGGATTCACCATCTCATCTTGCCACCACCTGAGACATTCCATTCATAGGTATCTATTAAATGATTAAATGGTTCTTTCTGAGAAACTGGATATGTCAGCCTCTTTCTTTGGTCCCTCAGCTTCCACGGACTTTGGGGGTAGGTTTGCACAGGCCTCCCCACTGCAGAACAATGCTTTAGTGAAGAAGGATGTATAACGTATGTTACCTTCAACACTCCTATTTATTATTTATAATCCCATGTTTAGGTGTTTTCTTAGTAGTGTCTATTTAGGAAAAACAAACAAAATGTGTAAGTATGAAATCATTGTAGGTAGCATTTGAGAAGTATTAATGCTCTGGAGGAGACACAGAATGCAGCAAATTCTCTAAAGCAGGTGCATCCCATGTTGTTATGTAGTTTGATCCTTGTGAATGCTTTGTCATGTAGCTTTTAGAACATTGCTGTGAAAATTATCAGAACTCTTCACTGAAACAAATGTTTGGGAAAAATATGTACTTGAAGAACAAGTGTGTGCCCCTGCCACCAGCTAAGAAGTAGAAAGGATTTAAGTTTGCTCGCATTAGCTATGCTTTCATTATTTTGCTATGTGAGACATATTCAATATAAGATAGTTGGCCAGATGCGGTGGCTTATGCCTGTAAACCCAGTGCTTTAAGAAGCGGAGGCAGGGCCGGGCGCGGTGGCTCACGCCTGTAATCCCAGCACTTTGGGAGGCCGAGGCGGGCGGATCACGAGGTCAGGAGATCGAGACCATCCCAGCTAAAACGGTGAAACCCCGTCTCTACTAAAAATACAAAAAATTAGCCAGGCGTAGTGGCGGGCGCCTGTAGTCCCAGCTACTTGGGAGGCTGAGGCAGGAGAATGGCGTGAACCCGGGAGGCGGAGCTTGCAGTGAGCCGAGATCCCGCCACTGCACTCCAGCCTGGGCGACAGAGCGAGACTCCGTCTCAAAAAAAAAAAAAAAAAAAAAAAAAAAGAAGCGGAGGCAGGAGAATCATTTGAGCCCAGGAGTTCAAGACAAGCCTGGGCAATATAGTGAGACCTCTGTCTCTACAAAAAAAATAGAATAAAATAAATTATCCAGGCATAGTGGCTCACACCCATAGTCCCAGCTACTCAGGAGGCTGAGATGGGAGGATTGCTTGAGACTGGAGGTTGAAGTTATAGTGAGCCGTAATCACGCCACCGCCCTCCAGGCTGAGTGACAGGGCGAGACCCTGTCTCAAAAAACAAAATAAAGTAGTTAAGGATCAATCAGACTTGGTAAAATATAAATAAAGGTGTGCATAATCAAATTTAACTGCTTGATAGGCTGGCATATAGCAGTTAAGAATTTTCAAGAAGAATACATCTAATGTAAAGACTCTTAGCTTCTTTGTAGGTTTTGAACTGCCTGTGACCCAGTGATCTGGTAAAGAAATATAAGCATAAGGTTATTTACCACAGTAGTGTTACTTAATATTATCAAACATTTTCCTCCTCTCATACCATGAATTCAGTTAACAAAGTGACTAAACATATTTTCTTTCTGGCAAAGCCTTGCTGAAAGTTGCCATTTTATCATCCTTTATAACTTCTAATGAATAAGATTATTAAATAAAAATGAATGAGGGAGTGACTATTTACATGGTCAATTGTTCTTTCTTTGAAGCTAGGCACCCATTCACGTAGGTCATGAGGAAAACTATGTATTCGTTCACTGCTTCACCCTAACACTTACAACCCCTCGCATACAGTGTGTTCAACACATGCTTGTGGAACAATGAATATGGAATAAAGGAATGTCCGTAATCACTTTTAAAAATATACATATATAGTGCTTGAGAAAGAAATACACTGGTGCTTCCCAAATATCTGAAACTATTTACTAAGACATGCATTAGTATGTCTTAGAGTTAAGAGATTACTAAAACTGATTTTACTTTAGCAAATACCCAAGAAGAAAACCTAACCTAGAAAATGGCACAAGACTGCAAACAAAAATTGGAAATGGCTCACTAAAGTGCAATTATCCAGGCACTGGATAATTACAAAAAACAACATAAACCTGGATGAAACAATCAAGTAAATCAATTCCTCAGGACAGTTAATAACTATGTCTGATGAGTTTAGTTGTGAAATTAAGCCACACTGACATAAGGAGCCAATCGAAAGGACACCATCTAGTCTATGTGCAATTCTGTAGAGAAATCCTAGTAGTTGGAATTCACAGTTTAGCAGAGTATCATTAAACACCCATCTTTTGGGCTGGGTGCAATGGCTCACACCTGTAATCCCAGCACTTTGGGAGGCAGAGGCGGGCGGATCACTTAAGGTCAGGAGTTTGACACCAGCCTGGCCAACATGGTGAAACCTCATTTCTACTAAAAATGCAAAAACTAGCCAGGCATGGTGGTGTGTGCCTGTAATCCCAGCTACTTGGGAGGCTGAGACAGGAGAACTGCAAGAGCCTGGGAGGTGAGGTTGCAGTGAGCCGAGACTGTGCCACTGCACTCCAGCCTGGGCGACTCAGCAAGACTCCATCCCCCACTCCCATCCCCAAAAAAAAGACCCATCTTTGGGCCAGGCCTAGCGGCTTACACTTTAATCCTAGCACTTTGGGAGGCCAAGGCGGGTGGACTGCCAGAGCTAAGTTTGAAACCAGCCTGGGCATCATGGTAAAACCCCATCTCTACTAAAAATACAAAAAGCTAGCTGGGTGTGGCAGGTACATGCCTGTGGTCCCAGCTACTTGGGAGGCTGAGATGGGAGGATGGCTTGAGCCTGGGAGGCAGAGGCTGCGGTGAGGACACCACTGCACTCCAGCCTGGGCAACAGAGTGAGACTCTATCTCAACAACAACAAAAAAGAGCCCATCTTCACTGGGCTCATAATGGGCTTCTCTTGACCTAATAATTCTCTCTAGTCTAGGTCTCAGCCTTCATTTCTTCATACATCTTTCTTCAATAAATCCCTTCCCTAAGGCTTCAATCTTAAATGGATGCAAATGAAGTCGTATAATTTTAAAACCCAAAGGGCCCACAAATACAGACTGTCTTCTTGGAAACTGATGCCCAGAGAGATGAGTGACAAGCTCTGAGTCACCCAGTTACAGACACGTTCAGACAAGAATCAGGGCAGCAGGTTTCTACTTCAAGATTCTTTCATTATATCTTGATTGAAAATAGTTCCAGTTTATCTCAATGCTTCTGCAACCCTAACTTTTTTTTTCTCTTCCCCTTCATCGACTTAACTTTATACTTATTTTGTTTTGATTTTTCTCCCACTCTTCTGTTCCATCTGTTCCCCTAGACCTAGAAGTAGAGCATCATTCTAAATCCTCACCACGTGCAACCTTGTTAGACAAGTACGACAACCAGATCTCTGACCTCTCTTTGACATCTCTGGCTTTCCAGGCTTTTGTAGCCTTTTTACCAACTTAGAATTTTAGAATGTCAGAGCTGGAAGGAAAACTACAGAGCAGCCTTTCCCAAACATTCTACAGAACAGCAGATGGAGGACACAACTTTGCAATGAGAGCAGGCTGAAGAGTTCTGAGATCTGTGATTCACTCAGCTCAGGAAATTGCTGCCCAGCAATTCTCCTCTCAGAGATTCACAATGCACGTCAGCTTTTGAAACACACTGACAAGTCCCAGCAGGCGGTGAGAAATTTACTTAACTCTGCTTAAACTTTAGTCTTTTCACAACTCTTCACATCCCTTGAGACTGCTTTGGGAAGGCCTTGCCTAGCCCCCTTGTTTTACAGATGAAGACTGAGTCCATCCTTGACATGAGTAACCAATGTCCTGCTCTATATATTGGGGCCAGGGCTCCAACCCAGCTGAGTCCCAGCCCAGAGCATCCTCTTGAAGTATTTCTCCTCTGCTGGATCCAGTTCTTTCCGGTCTTCCGCACACCAAATACCCAACACTTCACCTGGTACTACACATAGTGTATTCACATAGTGACTAGTGTTCACACAGTGTAAAAGATGTCCACATAGTGTGTATTTCTGTGGGGGACAGAAGGGTGGATGCTTGCTCTTATTTCAGCTTGATCTTACGTCCAATTGTATAGGACATAGGACTGTACTGATTTTGCTTGCATAAGTTCTATGTGATGCTCGATACTGGGATGTGGACATGCAAAGCCATCCCAATGATCTAAGAGGTTCCAAGGGACTAGAGGAATAAGCCCAGAGTATCCTGAAGGAGATTTGAGGTGAAGGCTCTTCACATGGGCATCCTAGGTTTTATGCAAAAGTGGCGGGTGATCCTGGGCCCTTCCAGAAATGTGGTAGTACATGCTAAACTTTCCGCACTTCCTTTGCATTTTCTCCTAACTTCATAACCAGCTTCCCGTTTTCTCACTTTTCCTATTGTCTTTCTCACACCAAGTTTTCCTAGTTGATTCCAGAGGCCTTCATGTGCCAGGAATCAAGGTCTCTTCCCCATTTTTTCTTGGGGGAGGGAGAGCTAGGAAGGACTAACATGTAGGAGTTTTAAGAAAGTGGAAAACATGCTTTGCCTAAAAAGAAGTGGGCTGGAAGTTACGCAAACAGCTTGCTGCTTTTCTGTTTGGGCATCTCCTGAACAACTGTACAGTTAACGGACAATAATGGTGAGAATTAAAGGGTGGGTGACAGAAGCTTTCACTGATGAGAGATAGCCTGTACTCCTTTAATCCAACCAAATAGGCCTACTTCCCAAACATGCAGCTTGGTTTTGTTGATGGTTTATTTTCTTCTCCTCTATCACCCATGCCACCCGCTTCTCTTGGCCCCTGCGTGATACTATTCTGACCCATTCTTCAAGGTACAGCTTCAATCTGAACCTTTGTAATACCATCCTGGCTCAGTTTTCACCCCTTGGAGTTCACAGCCTTGTACTGCCCATTTGAAAATCACCCATGTACTGACGGCCTCCTAACGTCTCTAGGCTTATGTTCCTGATTATTTTTGCTTGCTGCACAATATCTTTCATCTTCTCAAATAGATTCTGAATCTCTGAAGCACAGGAACCATTTGCAACACTTGTAAAAATGAAAGTAATTCAATAAATATTTATTACATGAAACATTAAATGAGCTTTCTGTAGAATATAGGTCATAAACTCATGTCTTCAAGGACCAGGGCAACTAATGGAAATGAGTAAAACAGGTGTAATATCAGGGAGTAGGGAGTCTTGTGGTAAACTAGAGAAACAATGCCCTCAGAAAGCAGCTGCTGCTCAGCCACAGGCGATTACATGACACAGAGATGCTGGCCTAGTGTTGCCAGATGGCAATTTTTCAAGAGAAGTAGAAAGCCCAGATTGTGTGAAATACCTGTAATTTTCGGTGTTGGCAATGAGTTAAAAAATGTTTAATATGCAATGTGGGCCAAAAATAACATGTGCAGGTCAGTCTCTGGCTGTCAAGCTGGCTGTTTGAAAGTTTGATCACATCGTTTCATACAAACAATAATATGCATAATTGACAGTGTTCTAGCCCCTAACCTGGACAACAAACAGAACCAAGGCATAAAATTAGAAATTTGATTGTTCAGTTTTATTTTGAATTTTAAATTATGTTAATGCATAGAAACAGTTTAATTAGAGAACAATGAAAATGGACATGGAGGCCGTGCACAGTGGCTCACGCCTGTAAACCCAGCACCTTGGGAGGCTGAGGCAGGTGGATCACCTGAGGTCAGGAGTTCGTGACCTGCCTGACCAACATGGTGAAACCCCGTCTCTACTAAAAACACAAAAATTAGCGTGGTGGTGGGTGCCTGTAATCCTGGCTAGTCAGGAGGCTGAGGCACAAGAATCGCTTGAATCTGGGAGGCGGAGGTTGCAGTGAGCCGAGATCACGTCACTGCACTCCAGCCTAGGCAACAAGAGCGAAACTCCACCTCAAAAAAAAAAAAAAAAAAAAAAGAAAATGGACATGGAGATTACGGAGACTCTAAAGGAATTTATTGGATCTTCTCAAGCTGACGCACTTGTTTCTTTTTAAGATTTCTTTTCCCTTCAAAACAGATTTTATTTTCCTTGATTTGAGTATAGTCTTGTCAGAGGTAATTATGGTCACTCTTGGGGGAAATAACAAAAGAAATGGAAGGATTAATTTTTCTGAGATCATTACTGGGTTGGAGTTAGAAGATTAAAGGAAAATAGATGAGATGATATCATATTTATATAAGATATGTATTTTTAATATCTTTATATGAAAGAAAGTCCAAGTGGCCTAAATGCTGTCCTCCTCACCCTTCACCAGGATAGCACTATCTACACTCAAATACCAGGAAGTAGGCTATTTATAACAGTGTTACGATAGGTGTCCAGTACTGTGCTAAGGGTCACAGGCAATGCTACAAGGTGTTGGCCCTTGTCCTTGGGGCTGACAGGTTAAACTCTTGGTGGTAACTTACAGACGCTCTGGACATGCAGGATTCTACAACCCAAGCAGGGGTGGAAGCTGACAATCCTCACATAAACTGAAAAACCAAAGCAACTTTCAGAGCACGTAAATGTCTTCACCTTTGCAAATGAGTTGGGAATTCACATATGCGATCTAATGTGGCTACCACTGACTAAACTTTTGTTTTGTTCTAAACAGCAGAACTGTTTTCAGAGACTTTGGTTTACTCCTTGACTACCCTTAGCGGGGACAAATGCTCCTTGCCTGAAGCTGAATTTGATTTCTGGAAAAGCCAAAGTTCTTCTAGGTAATAAGTTGTAGTAAAGCTGAGGATTTCATTTTGTTCATAACAAGCAAGACTATAAAGCAATAAGACCGATATTCACATGTACCTCATGAAATGACTTGGAGTAACTTTTTTTTTTTTTTTTTTTTTTTTGGGATGGAGCTTCGCTCTTGTTGCCCAGGCTGGACTGCAATGGCGTGATCTCAGCTCACCGCAACCTCCGCCTCCCGGGTTGAGGCAATTCTCCTGCCTCAGCCTCCCAAGTAGCTGGGACTACAAGCGCCCGCCTAATTTTTGTAGTTTTAGTAGAGACAGGGTTTTACCATATTGGCCAGGGTGGTCTCAAACTCCTGACCTCAGGTGATCTACCCGACTCGGCCTCCCAAAGTGCTGGGATTACAGGCATGAGCCACCACACCTGGCCCTTGTATTTCAAAATTAGCCAGGCGTGATGGCACGAGCCTGTAATCCCAGCTACTTGGGAGGCCGAGTCGGGTAGACCACCTGAGCGCCAGGAGGCGGAGATTGCAATGAGCTGAGATTGTACCACTGCACTCCAGCCTGGAGTGACAGCCTGGGTGACAGAGCCAAACTCCATCTCAAAATAAAAAAAAAAGCCCCTGTATTTCCCTTCTCAGGGTAGTATAGTAAAATTGGAAAGACTGAGAGTAAAATAGACCATTTTATAATCTCTTTGTAGCCACTTGCCAGCTGTATGAGGTGGGGGAAAATGTTTAACCCCTCAAGCATTTTTTTATTTTTTATTTTTTATTATTTTATTTATTTATTTTTTTTTTTTGAGACGGAGTCTCACTCTGTCGCCCAGGCTGGAGTGCAGTGGCACGATCTCGGCTCACTGCAAACTCCGCCTCCCGGGTTCACGCCATTCTCCTGCCTCAGCCTCCCAAGTAGCTGGGACTACAGGCGCCCGCCACCATGCCCGGCTAATTTTTTGTATTTTTAGTAGAGACGGGGTTTCACCATGTTAGCCAGGATGGTCTCAATCTCCTCACCTCGTGATCCACCCGCCTCGGCCTCCCAAAGTGCTGGGATTACAAGCGTGAGCCACCGCACCCAGCCAAGCATTTTTTTAAATGAACATTTCTTTAAGAATACAGAGTATGAACGCAGGAATTATGCTTGCTTACTGCTCTTTCCCCAGAATAGTGCTGGTGCAAAGTGATATGCAATAAATATTCATTGAAGGAATGAACAAGAATTTTAATGTCAACTCTTTTCAAAGAGATTCCAATTAAACAAGGTAACCATTTAAGCCACTGAAGTAACAAGTTAAAAAAATCGATTACAATTGTTCTGGAAAAGTGTGTAGCAAAATCAACATTCTTGCACATTGCTATTAGCCATATAAATTGGAAAATAACTTGGAAATATGTAATAGGACCTGCAAAAATATTTACAGCCTTTGATCTAGTAGTTCTACTTTTTAGGAATCTTCTGAGGGAAATCCTAAGAAACAGATTATACAATATGTCCACTGTAACATTATTTATGGTGGCAAGTAACTAAACAGTCTAAATTTTTGGTAATAGGAGAATAGTTAGGTTTAAAAATGACACAAGCTCTAATGCATCCATTACAAAAGATGGAAATAATATGCAGTAATTTGACAAATCCTTCTGTTAGAATTCTAATGTTAATAGTGCATATTCAACCTAACAAAAACAAAACATACACAAAAAGAAACAGTGGTTGTGTTAAGGTGAGATTATAGGTAATTTTTTTTTCTATTTTCCAAAATTTCTATAGCATGATTATCTACCTTTTATAATAAAATAATTCAGTTCTAATTTGCTAAAGAAATTATGCTTCTGTGGGGAAATTTTTAAAGCAGCTATGACATCCAGGGATTATGTAACTTAAACATTGTCTACTCCCTGACATCCACACACTGCCCAAACACCCTTTACCTACTCATATTCCTATATTTTGCTTCTTTGTACACACTTTGCTTACACAACTTGTCTGTCTTGTCTGGGCAGTAGATACTTTCTCCAAACATAGAGCGGGCTGGACTGTAGGATTCCATTTGTTACTGAAATTTCTTCTGCTTCCCCTCATGACCAAACCCCAGTCCATCCTTCAGTATCCATGTCAGACATCCCTTCCTCTATGGTGCCCTATCCAACTCATCCCTCAGACCATCACTCCTGCCTTTGTGCTCTCTAGTTTAAGCTTTTACTTTTAAAACTTGTTGCATTATCATTATGAGCTTCTAGATCTCTCCTTCATTTTTGTTCCCCTAGGTTTAGCATACACCTCTTACATAATTTGTATTCAATATAATTGTGAATATGAGTGACTTTCGGTCACTCATCAATCTATTCACTCACTCAGCAAATATGTGAGTGTTTACTTTGTGCCAGGTACTTTTAGGAGTTGTGCACACAGTGGGGAAGTCCACAGACAAGCCCCTCCCCTCCAGAGCTTTCAGCCAGGCAGTGGAGATGGAATTACTTAGGAGTAATTAAACAAATCCAGTGACAGGAAGAACTGGCAAATGAGGGTAAAGAAAGAACAGGGTGCTGGCCGGGCGCGGTGGCTCACGCCTGTAATCCCAGCACTTGGGGAGGCTGAGGCAGGCGGATCATGAGGTCAGGAGATCGAGACCATCCTGGCTAACATGGTGAAACTCCATCTCTACTAAAAATACAAAAATTAGCCGGGCGTGGTGGCAGCACCTGTAGTCTCATCTACTCGGGAGGCTGAGGCAGGAGAATGGTGTGAACCCGGGAGGCGGAGCTTGCAGTGAGCCGAGATCGTGCCACTGCACTCCAGCCTGGGCGACAGAGCAAGACTCCGTCTCAAAAAAAAAAAAAAAAAAAAAAGAAAGAAAGAAAGAAAGAAAGAACAGGGTGTAGTGAGAGAAGGTGAGAGGGAAACCAGACTGGGTAGTCAAAACAAGAGGTCACCTTCTCTAAGCATAGATCCACCCCTTTTGACAAACATTCAAGAAGCCTTTGTCTCCAATAAGGCATCATAGCTGCCAACAACTGCAGTGTTTGTTTCAAACTTTAAACAAAGAATGACCGTCTGAAGTAATACATTAGGGATACAGCAAGAAAGACAGACTTAAAGAAGTTTCTATTAAAGACAAAAAGCTACTAAAACCAAACAGAAGAAAAACCTCATTGTTTTCAATCAAATTATATATTTGGCCACCAGGAGTTAAATGCTACTGTAAGGTTCGTAATGGAATATTTTTATTTTTCTTTCTCTCTTTACTTTTATTTTGAGACAGGGTCTGGCTCTGTTGCCCAAGCTAGAGGGCTGTGGCAGGATCACAGGCTCACTGTAGCCTCAATTTCCTGGGCTCAAGTGATTCTCCCACTTCAGCCTTGCAAGTAGCTGGGACCACAGGTGCATGTCACCACACCTGGCTAATTTTTTTTTTTTAATTTTTTTGTAGAGATGGGGTTGCACTATGTTGCCCAGGCTGGTCTCAAACTCCTGGGCTCAAGTGACCCACTTGCCTCAGCCTCCTAGAGTGCTAGGATTACAGGTGTGAGCCACCGTGCCTGGCCTAGAATATTTTTAGTAAGTAGTTTCAAGTTTATTTCATCAAGTAATACTTACTCTTGATGTTGGTTGTGTGCTTTCATCATCCTATTATTAGCTTATTAAAAGTGACCAAAATTAAAGCAGTGTAATAGATCTAACAACACAAGGTGGGCTAGTCCCACCCATGGTTCAGTCATGTAAAGATTTCCTTCAAACTTTGATACTTTCAGAAACTCCAGAGCAGTAGCTTCCTGTGTCTGCCATGCTCTTTCACCTCAGACTCTTGCTGTTTTCACTTCCTGGAATGTTCTTCCTATTGAAAGAGTGCTACTTCTCATCCATTCAGACCCAGCTCAGCCAGCACTTCCTCTGGGTTCCTCTGAGTTCCTCAGACTTACAGGGGCTTCCTCCAACCTGGCTCCCGTAGGACCCACTTTGTACCACAAACTGAAGCCCTCAGCATATTTGTTTGGGATTGTCTACATCTTGGTTTTTCAGAGTATGAGAAGCTCCAGGACTCTGCAGTGTCTGACACATTCTGGGTAGCCAATAAATGTCTGCTGAAAATATGCTGGCGCTTTAAAAATGAATAATGCATCATTTTCCTCCATAAACAGAAAGAAGAAGAGCTATAACAAAATATAAGACTATATGTTTAAGTATAACTTCAACATCTATAAAAAGACCCTGAAAGCAAACCGTGTGCACACAAAGCCACAAGGACCAATCTGTATTTCAGCAACTTTAAGGATTACAGGTGTGTCAAATTTTAACATGCTACCCATGATTGCTTGCCAATCTTCTAAAGCCTGAATATGAAAAAAAAAAAAAATGGGAGGGGGTGGTTAGAGTTGGGGATGAGATAAAGATATTTAACCACTCATAATACCCAAATGAAAGTCCAACTCTTTAAAGCACTTAAATTCTATTATTTGCTCTCGAAATATGCTTTGAGAGAGACAGAAACCATGTTAATGTTTTTAGAGTAATTGAACATCACTACCAAAGAGGTTCCTTCTGTAGACGTAACCAATAATACTATTTTTCTTTTCATCCATGTATTAAGCTTCATTTAATTGAACAATTCAGAATTGTGCAATTTTAATTAGCTATGTGAGGAAATATGACTGACACGTTATTGGTTTTGGTCAGTAGAAACCTCTGTGGCTGCCAAGAACCAAATGTGGCACATGGAGTATCCTGTAAAATACTGACCCACTGTCCTTAACAAAAGTATAGTATGTGTATTTAATTTTTAAATTTTTTATTTTTTTGAGACAGGGTCTCACTGTCACCCAGGCTGGTGCAGTGGCCCAATCATAGTACACCACAGCCTCAAGCTCCTGCATTCAAATGATCCTCCCACCTCAGCCTCCTGAGTAGCTAGGACTATAGGCACGTGCCACCACACCCAGCCAACTTTTTAAATTTTTTGTAGAGACGGGTCTCACCACATTGGCCAGGATGATCTCAAACTCCTGGGCTCAAGCAAACTTCCTGCCTCATCCTCCCCAAGCATGAGCCACAATGCCAGGCCTGTATTTAAATGTTATACAACTATAGAACTAATAGGATTTAATCTAAAATGGACTAAATTTACTATTAATCTGATGAGAACCTTTTGAGACAGACAGAAAAGGCTACTAAGCCTGTGAAGAGTCCAGACTGTAAAATATGTTTCCACATTGATGAACCAACTGACATTAATTTAGTTATTTGGGGAAAGAGTTATATATATGTGTGTGTGTGTGTCTGTGTGTGTGTGTGTGTGTGTATGTGTGTATTTTACTATTTAGTACATCAGTAATTTCCATCGGTAACCTCCACCTTGAATTTTAATCACAACCTATAAACTATATTTTGACTATTTCTTGTCAGAAATGATGGCTCAATATCAACATTGCCAAAGTCAAAACATCAGTTTTGGAGGACATCCTTGACATCACTCCAACAGACAGGTTACGGGTTGAGACTTTGAATGGAAAGGCACAGGTGCCTGGAGTGCACTTGTGGGGCCCTGACAGGCCCATTGCAGTCCTCAGGTTCCTCGGCTTCTCAGGACAGTTCATCATAGCAGCCCCACCCTGCTGGCAGTACTCCGTCTGGGCTTCTCTGATGCCTTCTTCCCATTTTTTCTTGTTTTCCCAACTTCTGCTTCCTCTGAGGCTCCACCTCTTCTTGGCAGCTCTAACACTATTCTTCATTCAGGGGATTTCATGGATTTCCAGGGTTTCCATTATCACTGACCTGCCAACAAATTTCTCCCTATTTCCTATATTTCCTTTACTTATTCATCTCATGTTTTTAGCCTGGATTTTAGCTCCAGGAGGACCAAGTGCTGTTCGTCTTGTGAATTGCTATATCCAAGTACTAGCACATAATAATTGCTCAACTAACATGATAGAGAGGACATGGTATATTTCCTCAATTATGGTGGTCAACTGAAGACACCTATGTTTCATAACTTCAGAAGTCAAAGTCATCTTTTCCATACTCATAGGCCAGATCTCTAAGCCCCAGAGTTGTCAATCATTTGAGCAAATCTAAAGCCCTTTGTTGAGGAAAATATCAACCCTGCTTGTAAGTACTTCTTCACTACCTTCACATTGAGGCAAGGTCACCTGCCATTAGGACTAGAATTCAAGTAAAGCACTTTAATTTAACAAAATGTCATTTCAACAACTTTGCCTAAGGTACCTACAGCCTAAGGAACTCTTCACAGTTGACACAAAATTCTAAAATGAACAATACCTTGGCAAAGCCCAGTGGAGCTCCTTGATATAAGACAGTGACTAAGAGACGATTTCTCTAGCTTTTGGAGCACTACCTCCAGACAGATTACCTGGAGTAGAATTTTGACTCTGCCACTTATGGGGTATGTGACTTGGGCAGATATTTAATTAACCTCTTTGTGCCTCAATTTCCTCATTTATAATATAACAACAATAGTACTTATGTAACAAGGTTGGTATAAATATTGGGTTAATGTATTCAAATCGTGGTTAGAAAAACAAGCTAGCAGCTGGGTGCGGTGGCTCACGTCTGTAGTCCCAGCACTTTGGGAGGCCGAGGTGGGTGGATCATTTGAGGTCAGGAGTTTGAGACCAGCCTGGCCAAAATGGTGAAATGCTGTCTCTACTGAAAATACAAAAATTAGCTGAGCATGGTGGAGCACACCTGTAATCTCAGCTACTTGGGAGGCTGAGGCAGGAGAATCGCTTGAACCTAGGAGGCAGAGGTTGCAATGAGCTGAGATGGCACCACTGCACTCCAGCCTGGGTGACAGAGTGAGCCTCTGTCTCAAAAAAATAAATAAATAAATAAAAAAGAAAAAGAAAAAGAAAAATGAGCTAGCTATGATAATGATGATTCATATATCCAGTTAGAACATCAGCAAACTAAATCTACGGACCCTAAAACTTTAACTTTAGGAAGAGGTTTTGAGTTCTTGTTATATGCCAAGCACTGGGTTAAGAAACTCATATACACAATTACATTTAATCCTTATAAGCCTTGAAGGAGGTACTGTCATTATCTTCATGTTCACAGATAAGAAACTAACACAGATGTTAAATAACTTGCCCAACTAGTCACAGGTGCTAAAGTCAGGATTTAAACCTAATAGCCATAACCAACAGCAGCCCATGTTAAGAAGATCTACACCTGTATAGAAATCCGCAAACCTGAGAGCAATAGCAGATTGGCAAGAATAATGGTGACGATAAAAGAAAAAAAAAATTACCTTTGTAGTTTAGTGTAGACAACTGACAAAAATCAGATTTGGACTAAATATATTTCTCGTGTGCCAGGTATTGCTCCAAGTGCTTTACATATTTAACTAATGTTTGATGATGATAACAATGAACAATAAACCTTTATTCACATATTGTGCAATCTTCATAACTTTCCAGATGGAGCATTTTAATCACTTGCTAGATCAGTAAACAAACCCTTGGGTTATGTCCTCTGTTCAAGGTCACACAGCTAGGATAGCTCAAAGCCGGGATTTGAACACAAGTCTCCTCGATCCCAAAGTCCATGCTCGTAAACACTATGAAAATGTTCCCCAATGTTTGGTAAATATACCATCAGTTTCATGAGGTGTTTTGTGAAATAAGAGATCTATAGTCAATTAAATTTGGGATTCATTGTACACTCTCTTTAAGATTCAAAATACATATTAGCAGAGAGTTCTCAAAGGTTTTACAGTTAAAAAAGAAATCCTGATTAACTCTGTTAAACTTAGCTTATTTAACCATAGAGCCCTATTCAATGGGTAATATATATCTTTTTTCTTTTTTTGACAGAGAGTCTCACTCTGTCGTCCAGGCTGGAGTACAATGGCGTGATCTTGGCTCACTGCAACCTCTGCCTCCTGGGTTCAAGCGATTCTCATGCCTCAGCCTCCTGAGTAGCTGGACTACAGGTGCGCCCCACCATGCCCAGCTAATTTTTTTTTTTTTTTGAAGTATAGATGGGGTTTTACCATGTTGCCCAGGCTGGTCTCAAACTCCTGAGCTCAGGCAATCCACCGGTCTTGGCCTCCCAAAGTGCTAGGGTAACGGGCGTGAGCCACAGCACCCGGCCAATATATATCTTTAAAGCAAATACTGAGGCCATTAGCCTGAGGTTGTCACTGTAGCTATAGCCCCCAGGTAAGCAGGCCAAAACCCAATTCAACATAAACAGTAAAATAAAACTTAAGCTTAACCTATCAGAAACCACTAACTAACCTCTAGCCACTGGATCATACCCAAATAAGCCAAAATGCCTAGCTGTAGCCAATCAAGTAATTTCTCTACCTCTCTTGGGTGTTTCATCTATAGAATCTTGCTGTTCACCCTGCAGAGTGCAGCTCTCTTGGCTCAAATAAACTGTTAAACTTATTTTGTCTCAAGTTTTTTTTTTTTAAACTGTATTAGCATCCTCCAGGACTAAAATTTGTAAATACATAATACACTTTTTCCCAATGTGATGCATTCTTAATGTGGATCATACAACTAGCCACAAAAGAGCTGAGCGTGGAGGGAGAGGAGGGAGAAGGGGAAGACAGAAGATTGAACAACCATAACAGGAGACTGTTGAATGTAGTTCAAAGGGCAATGGGGTCCAGCAGACCTTGTTCACAGCCAACTTCACTAAGCAGGCCCATGTCTGTGAAGAAGTTACTTAACTTTGTTGAGCCTCTATTTCCTTTCCTATAAAATGAGAGCATTAACTACTATTTTATAAAGTGGTTGTGTTTGTAATTCTGCAAATGCATCTATTATTATGCAGATATCTGCCAGCAATCTTATTGTTAAAAGCTGATCACTTTCTAAAAGCAGAATTTTTTTTTTTTTTTTTTTTTTTTGAGACGGAGTCTCACTTTGTCACCCAGGTTGGAGTACAGTGGCGTGATCTCAGCTCACTGCAAGCTCTGCCTCCTGGGTTCAAGCGACTCTCCTGCCTCAGCCTTCCAAGTAGCTGGGATTACAGGCACCCGCCACCATGCCCGGCTAATTTTTGTATTTTTAGTAGAGATGGGGTTTCACCGTGTTAGCCAGGCTGGTCTCAAACTCCTGATCTCAGGTGATATGCCTGCCTCAGCCTCTCAAAGTGCTGGGATTACAGGTGTGAGCCACTGCACCCGGCCTCTAAAAGCAGAATTGACTTGCTTTGCTAAGAAAGTTCAGGAAGCCCGGATAATTGCTGTCTGGCCCTGCCTCTCACAAACAAGGAAGAACTGTGTTCAGTGAAATGGAAGTGACTGAAACCTTGGGACAAAGTGACTTTACCTTGGAAATGATGCATATACCAGAAACAGTGAGATACACATCTTCCACTTTTTAAAAAGTAGATTTCAAAGTTTTCAAAGAAAGATAGTTTGAGTCTCAGGGCAGGGACAACATTATGGGACAGGCAGCTCTGAAAAGGGTCTCTCAATCTCTCATGGGGTATTTATCAACTATCCTATTCAAGGGGAAAAAGAAAAGGCAGATGACTATCAAATGTGGAAAATCACCAGTGTTCTTTTAAGGAGATGTCCTATAATTAACATTTAGTCAGAAACAGACACATAATTCATGACAAATTTGAAAACAAGCATAAATCTATTAAAACATGAGGAAGTTAGAAACCCAGAAAACAGCGAGGCTTGCAAAACACAGTTGTGAAGGACAACACAAAACCATTTTTGGCTACATTCAGAGTCAGAAGCACGTGGAAGCACAGGGCCTGCCCCTTGCGACAGACGCGGTAACACAGTGATAATGGAAGCAGAACCATGAATTCCTAATTTCTCTTTAGTCTCTCTATCGTGAATGGTCTTCAAACAAAAATAAAAGTCCTAAAGCAGTAAGAGGAAAATTATGTCAATGATAGGAGAGAAAATTTATGATTTGGTGGGGAGCCTGTACATAAGTAGCAACATAAGCAACATCTAAGGGCCATAAAAGAAAACCAAAACGCTAGCAGAGTGTTGAGAGAGAAATTAAGGCCAAGGAAGGGCAGTGAGAGGGAAAGAGACGGGGAAGTTCTCAAAAGAGATGATTTCTGAGTTGGTATTGAACGATGCGTGGGATATTGCCCAAAGTAAAAGGGTGGGAGGGCATCTGGGACAGAGGGGACAACAGGAGAAGCGTAAGCAGATTCACGAGCTGAACTGTCATCCATGACACAGTGAGGCTGCAGTCAGCAAAATGGTGCCAGGTTGTAGCAAGCACCAAGTGCCAGCCAAGGAACTTAGCACTTTTATTCTACAGGGGATAGGAAGTGCGGGTGGGGTGGAGGAGTGGTAACTGGAGGATTAACAGTCAGATTGGAGCACTCAGGACTGGGAACGAGGGATCATTTCACAGCCTTGACTTGATTAGGCCAAATGTGTGCAAGTCAAATAAATGCAGCCTGAGCATCCGTCCAGGTTTGACTGAGAATCACTCTGGTTTAAAACCATTGCACTGAGCTAGGCATGGTGCCTCATACCTGCAATCCCAGCACTTTGGGAGGCTGAGACAAGAGAATCACTTGAGCCCAGGAGTTTAAGACCCACCCTGGCAATATAGGGAGACCTCATCTCTACAAAAAATACAAAAATCAGCTGGGCATGGTGGTGTATGCCTGTGGTCCCAGCTACTTGGGAGGCTGAGGTGGGAAGATTGCTTGAACCTGGGGAGGCAGAGGTTGCAGTGAACCACGATCATACCACTGCATTCCAGCCTGCGCCACAGACACCCTGTCTCAAAACAAAGAAAAAAACACTGTTGACCTAGCATGATTATTAATAGCAGTCCCTGCTACTCTCAAAAATGTCCTGGTTTGGACAATAAATTATACGGCTACCTAAATACATGTAACTTGGGGACTATCTATCTGTGTTTAATAACAATGATAACAGACATATATTTTAAAAGTTACAAACTGGAGAAAGGTGAGCTTCCCAATAGGTATTCTACAAATGGATTACAGATGGGGCACTAGCTATCAATGTTTAAATATTTTATAGAGGTAAAAACTTAAAGCCATTTTGTATAACTATACAGAGTTGAATAATTGGCATCAGAGTTGGCATTCTATTTGAGAACCATTTGTGTAACTCTTTATAAATCTTGTGAATTCTGTTATTCAAGCTCATACAGATTTCCCCAAAATTGCTTCCAGAATCCCCAGTATACTATACAAATGTAATTGTTTCTATGACACAAAAAATAAGAAGAAGCACTGATATAGATTAATTGTGGGAGCTCAAAAAAAAAATCAGGACAAAAAATTCACTAGTGACTAAGTTATCATGAGTGTCCTCACAGCATAGCCCAGCAGGGAGGGCATGAAACTAAGAGTCCATGAATTTCTATTGCAGTTCCCATTTCGCCAGCATAACTGATCACATGTTTAAATTTAAAAAATTTTTTTAAGAGACAGGGTCTTGCTCTGTCACCCAGGCTAGAGTGTAGTGGTGTGATCATACAGCCTTCACCTCCTAGGCTCAAGAGATCCTCAGTCTCCCCAGTAGCTGAGATCATGTGCCACCACATCTGGCTAACTATGTTTTGTAGAGACAGTCTTACTTTGTTGCCAAGGCTGGTCTTGAACTCCTGGCCTCAAGGGGTCTCCTGCCTTGGGATTACATGTGTGAGCCACCGTGCCTGGCCCTGATCATACGATCTTGATGGTGTCCTTGAGCCTTTCTGAACCTCAAGTTCCCTTAGCTGACAAATGGAAATAACAATGGCAACCAGTTATTTATTGAAAAAAAAATGAAATGAGGTGATATTAGTAAAAACCTTCATAAAATCTAGAGTACTTTATAAATATGAGGTATACTAAAAAGTTATGTTAAGGTCTCATTTCTCTCAGGGATAGCCTCTTTTTCCACTTGCCACTGGTGTCCCTGAGGGGCACCCTTGGTAAAATCCTCCAGATCTTACTGTCACTCCAAACACATTCATTTCAACTACTTCTGCCACTATCCATTTGCTGACTACTCCCAAATCCATATCACCAGCCCAGCTCTGTCTCCTGAGCTCTGGATCTGTATATGCAGCTGTTTATGATCAGCCATCCTTGGACTAGTCCACTGACACTTCAAAACAGGGTCCCAAACTCTATATCTTCACCCTCAGATCTGCTCTTGCTCCCAAATCAGGGTCATGGTCCCCATTCACCCAGCTATTCCAGAATCTGTCCCAGGAGTCATCTTTGACTCCTTCCTCTCCGATGCTCCATACTCTCCCCTCCAACAGCAACTCTGATCAGCTTTCCTCCAAATCAGTCCCACTTTGTTAGTTCATGCTCTCACCTGGATTAGTGCTTCCTAGATGGTCTTTTGCCTTTTTTTTTTTTTTTTTAAAGACGGAGTCTCCCTCTATTGCCCAGGCTGGAGTGCAGTGGTGCAATCTTGGCTGACTGCAACCTCCACCTCCCAGATTCAAGGGATTCTCCTGCCTCAGCCTCCCGAGTAGCTGGGACTACAGACGCGTGCCACCATGCCCAGCTAGTTTTTTTTTTTTTTTTTTTTTGTATTTTTAGTAGAGACTGGGTTTCACCATACCGGCCAGGCTGGTCTCAAACTCGTGACCTTGTGATCCGCCTGCCTCAGCCTCCCAAAGTGCTGGGATTACAGTTGTAAGCGACCACGCCTGGCCTACTTTTGCTTTCTTACATTCCAGTGTCTACACTGCCACTGAGAAGGACTATTCTAAAACACAGTTTTGAGCATGTGACTTCTCTGCTAGAAGACTGTCAGTTGCTCCTTTCTCCTCCACAGAGCTCTTCCTCACCTGACTGGTGCTTCCCTTCTGCCTCCCTCTCTGACCTTTGAACTTTAAGCTCCAGCCAGTCTAAACCACTTGTAGTTCCTCAGCTACACCATCCTCTCCCACAGAACTTTCACATACTGCTGCTTCTGGCTGGAATGCCCCTTTCACCCTTCTCTTCTCTGGTTTCTATTATAAGGAAATCTAGCACAAATCTAAACTCTTGAGTTCAGGAGTAACACAGGCTGGAATCGAATTCAGGCTCCACCTCGTATAAACGGTGTCATCTTAAGCAAGTCACTTTTCTTTGCATTTCGGTCTCCTCCTTTGTCACATAAAGAACACCTGCCTGATTGTATTACCATGGGCTAAACTAATTGAACACAAAGCACATAGCACAGTATCTGCCACAGAGTAAATGCTCACTATATGCTCAATAGATATTTTTACTATAGGCACTCAACCTTGACATCTCAGATTAGATACGTTTCCCCAGTGCCCAGGTCCACTTTAGATGTTCTTTCCAAGGCTCTTGCAGCAATCCACAGATGCCTCTATCATAATTCTCCTTCCATCATTCAAGTGCCCACCTTATCGCTGGCAGTTGGTTTATCATCCCTCACTTGACTGTAAGCTTCTCAAGATTAGGTATCTGCCTTACACATTTCTGTTTTGCCAGACCAGCTCCTTAATATTTAATATGTGATGACGTCCAGGGTTTTAATTTTATTAAACACTGAAAGAGAGCTTGTTAAAATTTCACAATATGACACACCTTAGATTAGGCAGGCGATATAGTCAGGTTTTTCACTTGAAAATTCAATTACAGGTAGGCACGGTGGCTTATGCCTGTGATCCCAGCACTTTGGGAAGCCAAAGCAAGAGGATCACTTGAGCCCAGGAGTTTGAGACCAGCCTGGGCAACATAGCAAGACTTTGTCTCTCCTAAAAAATAAAAAAAGAAAAATATAGCCAGGCATGGTGGCACGCGCCTGTAGTCCCAGCTACTCAAAAGGCTGAGGCAGGAGGATCCCTTGAGCCCAGAAGTTCAAGGTTGCAGTGAGCTGTGATCACACCACTGCATCCCTGCCTGGGTGACAGAGCAAGACCTTGTCTGTAAGAAAAAAATAAAAAGTAAAAAACGAAAATAAATTCAATTACATTTCTTCATTCTATATAAACATAAAATGAAAGAGAAGTGGTAGACAGTTCCCACATAATTTCATTTGGCAGCAAAAGTAAATATATGGTGCTCACTTCAGCAGCACATACACTAAAACCATAACAGTTCAGAGAGGACTAGCATGCCCCTGCAGAAGGATGACACACATTTGCAGTGTTACATATTTTCTTTAGAAAAGTAAATATGGCTGGGTGCAGTGGCTCACCCCTGTAATCCCAGCACTTTAGAAGGCCAAGGCGGGTGGATAACCTGAGGTCAGGAGTTTGAGACCAGCCTGGCCAACATGGTGAAACCCCATCCCTACAAAAATACAAAAAAAAATTAGCCGGGCATCATGGCGGGGGCCTGTAATCCCAGCTACTCGGGAGGCTGAGGCGGGAGAACTGCTTGAACCTGGGAGGCGGAGGTTGCAGTGAGCCGAGATCGCACCATTGCATTCCCGCCTGAGTGACAGAGCAAGACTCTGTCTCAAAAAAAAAAAAAAAAAAAGTAAATATATGCTATTTTAAAATGCTATTTTAAAAGAAGCAATTGTGCATAAAAAGAACATTTAAGAATGATTAACTGTACTTTCACACTTCACAGAAATGTCTCAGATCAAGCTCAAATTGCATGGTAGAAATAGGATGTCCCATTAAAATAATGAGGGTATTTCTATGCTCAGGGTTATATTTGTAGAAGTACCAGAAAAAATAAAAAGGAAACTATAAATTGGGCATTATCTTACACACCAGGTAGCTGAATCAATCTGACCTTAATGTTTCATAGGTACTATCTGCAGAGACCAACTCAGGTTGTTCACCTGTCAGAACTAACACTGATTAAATAATGCCCCTGACACTATTCTTAAAACCTTTTGCCTCCATATGTTTAAAGAAAAATCCTAGCAAATCAGCTAAAAATTGTGGTTAGTGAAGTTACTAATGTGCATGAAGAAATACGCATCATCATAATTTCTGGACAATCATTATTTACTGATGTTTTAAAGTTAAATTCACCTGACAATAGTAAATATTCCAGTTCAAAACTGTTATGAAAGAGATTATTAGCACGTTGAAGTTCTGCACAGTTTCCAGCTGAGCTGTCATTTAAACCACACCCACACAGCCCAAAAGCACATCATGCACAGAGAATTCAGGTGAGGTGACATTAAATCTCAACAAGTTTGGGGACATTTGGCAAGATAAAAATCCTTGATCAACTAGTCCAAAAGCACTGTCACCCATAAGAAACAGGGGGAACACTCAGCATAAATACCAATTTCAGCACTTCTTTTACATTGTGTCACTGAAAAGATTCATAGTGTAAGCAGTAGTAAGTTAGAAAATAATCAAGACAAGCCAGGCTCATGCTCCGAGCTCTCTTGGGACACCATTATTACCTTTAGCCACATTTTCCTTCCATCATTCAAGCACCTACCCTATCACTGGCAGTTGGTTTATCATCCTTCACTTGACTGTAAGCTTCTCAAGTTTAGGTTTCTGCCTTACACATTTCTGTTTTGCCAGACCAGCTCCTTGCCTTGGTGTTCATTTAATAAGTGATCACTTCCAGGGTTTTAATTTTATTAAACACTGAAAGAGAGCTTGTTAAAATTTCATAATATGACACATCTTAGATTAGGCAGGCAATATAGTCAGGTTTTTCACTTGAAAATTCAATTACAGGTAGGCACGTTGGCTTATGCCTGTGATCCCAGCACTTTGGGAAGCCAAAGCGGGAGGATCACTCTTCTAAACTATACATAGACTCTCCCTCCTATGAGACTTTGTAACTACACCTGTTCTACACCTATCAGCTTCCAGCTTTTTAATAGCTATATATTAACATGACTTCTCCATCCTACTAGACTGTGGTTTCTTCTAGGTCACTTTAGTGACTCTCCATAGCTTCACACAGGATTTCAATCCATGTTAAGTCTAGGTAACTGAGCACAAAGCATGGCACTATGATAGCTATATCAGGGGATCCAGAAAGTCTTTTTAAAAGAAATTCGATTTTTCTCATAAAGCAAATACTAAAATATATATTGATATGCATATGCACATCAGTTCCACTTTAGAAATAGAAAAATTATCCCTGGGGGGAAAAGTTACTTTTTGTTTTGAAAGATATTTTTTGTAGAGATGGGGAGGGTGGCATAGTTTCACTATGTTGCCCAGGCTGCTCTCGAACTCCCGACCTCAAGTGATCCTTGCACCTCAGCCTCTGTAAACTCAGCTGATAGCAATAACCTAAGCACATTCTGAGAATGACCCTGTATGGCAGACACACCTAAATGTGTGTTCTGAGTTAAGGAGTCCCCAAGTGCCCAACCCAGTGATTTGTTCTTTATCTATGATAAACATGTGAGCACCGCCCATCATGTAACATGGGATGTACAGGGGATTGAGGCCCTGAGTTTTGGGTTAAATGAAGGTTGCCAGGTGGAAGTCATTAGGGGGAAGACGTCAAGTGACAATGCTATGTAAACTACATGTTTGTAGGCAGTTGTGATTTTCCTGCCCTGCCTGCCACCACTGGACTGTAGAAAGACAGATATGTTGTCCAGCCTCCTGCCAATGCCCCTTTTCTATATATAAAGTGGTTCTTCTGTCCAGCCCACCACCACTGGACTCTTTCCCTTGTATGCAAGCCCCTAATAAAACCCTATTTTTGGCTGGGCACGGTGGCTCACGCCTGTAATCCCAACATTTTAAGAGGCCAAGGCTGGTGGATCACCTGAGGTCAGGAGTTCAAAACCAGCCTGACCAACATGGTGAAACTCTGTCCTTACTAAAAAATACAACAATTAGCCAGGCATGGTGGCGGGCACCTGTAATCCCAGCTACTCAGGAGGCTGAGGCACGAGAATCACTTGAAACCAGGAGGTGGAGGTTGCAGTGAGCTGAGATCACGCCACTGCACTCCAGCCTGGGTGACACAGTGAGACTCCATCTCAACAACAACAACCAAAAAAAAAAAAAAAAAAAAAACCCATGTCTTGTTTGCAGGCTCTGGGAATCTTCTTCAGCCTCTTCAACCTGGTGCCTTCACTACTGAGGTTAATGGGGGTTTGGCACAACAGTCTCCCAAAGTGCTGGGGTTACAGGCATGAGCTACCATGCCTGGATTAAAAAAAGCTTTAAAATAATTTATTACTACATGTTCATTGTAGAAAATCTAGAATACACCAATACGAAAACTGAAGATACAACTTTATGGCCCAGAAGAAAAAAATCATGTTTTAAATTATATCTTTCTGCTTTTTCTATACAAACATAGATACATGTTTTGATATATAAATAGTGTATGATCTATTTTGTAGCCTTTTCCTGCTTAACACATGGTACAAATCTTTTGCAAGTCATTAAACATTTTACAACCTAAATTTTTTTAACTGCCTAGTATTCCCAAATATGAATTTACCATTATTTAATCTTTTACTGTTCTTACATTTTTCTTTTTTTTTTTTTTTTTTTGAGACGAAGTCTCACTGTAGCCCAGGCTAGAGTGCAGTGGCACCATCTCGGCTCACTGAAACCTCCACCTCCCTGGTTCAAGCGATTCTTCTGCCTCAGCCTCCCAAGTAGCTGGAATTACAGGCGCGCACCACTGCACCCGGCTAATTTTTTGTATTTTTTAGTAGAGACGGGGTTTCACCATGTTGGCCAGGCTGGTCTTGAACTCCTGACCTCAGGTAACCCGCCCGCCTCGACCTCCCACAGTGCTAGGATTACAGGCATGAGCCACCACACCCGACCTTCATTCGTTTAAATGGTGCTGCAAATAAAAGAAAAAAAGATTGCTCGATTTTACTTCACGTTTATTATAAGTGGCAGTGCTTTTAGACAAGTTCAACAAGTTTTTGTTTTTTTTCTTTGTCTTACGGTGCTGATGAACAAGTTTTTTAATCCTGTAAAATGTTTCCATCTTTATAGCTAGAGGTTTGCCTATATCCATCATTACTTACCATAAATTCCATCTAGAGGGATTACGGGGTCAAAAAATAAACACACTTATAAGGCTTTGATGGATATTGCCAAACTGTTCTCCAAAAACGTGGTTCTAACATACATTTTCTCCAGCAGTGTACACTTAGTATTTTAACCTGCACTGAGATTACCATTTAAAAAAAAAAATCTTTGTCTGCATAGCATTTGGAAATCAGCCTTCAGGACTTCCCCAAACTCTCTTCTTTTGTTCCTCTAGTCTCCTGCTGCCTGATCATCTAAATTACACCTCTGCCCTTCTCAGACCTACTTTTGTTTGTGCTTTTCCACTGCTCAAGTCTTATGGTGGCTTTGCTATAACACAGAAATTTGCCTAGCTAGTATTTTATCCCCTTAGGGCCAAAGTGTCAACTAATCTGATAAACTAATCCATGCTAATGTAAAAGGGCTCATTTCCAGCAACACGTATGCAATATAACACGCAGTTTAAGGAAAATATATTGTCTACAACAGCAATGCCTTTTATCTTATAGAGCAGTGGTTCTCAAGTTTTGCTGCAATGAAGATCATCTGGGGAACTTTTCGTTTTTTATTTTTATTATTATTATTTTTTTGAGACGGAGTCTCACACTGTTGCCCAGGCTGGAGTGCAGTGGCCTGATCTCGGCCCACTGCAAGCTCCACCTCCCGGGTTCACGCCATTCTCCTGCCTCAGCCTCCCGAGTAGCCGGGACTACAGGAGCCTGCCACCACGCCCAGCTAATTTTTTTGTATTTTTAGTAGAGACGAGGTTTCACCGTATTAGCCAGGATGGTCTTGATCTCCTGACCTCGTGATCCGCCCGCCTCGGCCTCCCAAAGTGCTGGGATTACAGGCGTGAGCCACCGCGCCCGGCTGGAACTTTTCTTAAACACTGCTAAGAACGTTCATCTCCCAGAGATTCTAAGTAAGTTTGGTATGTGGTGTAACCTGGGCATCAAGTGTTTTGTTTTGGTTTGGTTTGTTTTAAACAGTTCTTAGGTGATTCTGACATAGCATCTGTGTTTGAGAGGAGTCAGAGAGATCCTAAGTAGCTGCTTCTTAAGGAATATGGGGAACCCCAAGGAAAAAAAGCACAATGAACATAATCTCAATAGTCTGACTCACTGCACAAGATAAAGGACATAAAAAATGCTAAAGCATAAAGTATTTGCCAATGACAACAGAATAAACTAACATTCACATTTCTTAATGGTAGGCAGCTGATGCTGTCTTAGGAAATAGGCTGAGCTTAATCTCTCAAACAGCTTAAATTGCTTTTGTAGTTGAGCCAATCAACTCAAACTAAAATTATCTGAGTAACGAGGTTGACACCATGCAATTTATTTATTTATATATTTTTTTGAGACAGAGTTTCACTCTTGTTGCCCAGGCTGGAGTGCAGTGGCACAATCTCGACTCAACGCAACCTCCGCCTCCCAGGTTCAAGCGATTCTCCTGCCTCAGCCTCCCAAGTAGCTGGGACTACAGGCACCTGCCACCAGCCCTGGCTAATTTTTTGTATTTTTAGTAGAAAGAGGTTTCACTATGTTGGCCAGGCTGCTGGTCTCGAACTCCTGACCTCGTGATCCACCCGCCTCGGCCTCCCAAAGTGCTGGGATTACAGCGTGAGCCACCGCCCCAGGCCATGACACCAGGTAATTTAGTAGTAGCACTCCAGGTTTCAATCACATAAATTACTTCCAGTTTACATTTATTTTATTGCTTCAAAAAAGGTAAGCATTCTTATAGATGTTCCCACAATCCACAATGGACCCTTGGGGACAACTAGAAGACTCACTACAAGTACCAGGCACTTAAATACATTACTAAACCTTATAGCAAACCTACAAGGTAGTTTTTTGCCCTATTTTACAGGGAAAACTCAGGAAGATTTGAGGTGACACTGGAAAATTGCTTTATTGGGTAGAATATGTTTCCATCTGATCATAATGATCTTTCTGATATTTCACAATTTAGAGGAGAAGTGATAAGAGCCATTTTTCTGCAAATCCACTCCTGAGCCACAGTGTCAGGTGAGAACACTGGTTACCTCATCTATTGCTGACTTCAGGTTACACCCACTATCATTCCCAAGCACCACCTGAGGGTATACTCTGTGGAGGACCTTACACAGCCTTGTCCTTAATGGGCTGGCAAGCCTAGCTGGGAAAGAAAAGCTTTTCTCCAAACCTAGCTTGTCCGAGATTAACTTATGATGGAGAAGACTTCTTTGGTGACCTGAAAACTAAGAATAATCTCTGCAGCCAACACAGCAGTTTGATCTTTTTCCTGTTTTCCTCTGTTTAAGTTATTGTAGTAGACCATTAACCCACCCAGGTAAACATCACTGTTCCTCAATCTTTGAAGGGTATTACTTTCAAATTACATAATTTCATGGGGGAGGAGAGGGAATGCAAGGCTTCCTACAACAAGACTGACTTTCTTGACACCAGTGCTAAAGAAGGGGATGATCATTTTCACCATGTCAACATTATAGGAAGCAAGAGGAAAAGAAGGGGGGCAGGGGTCTATAGCTTCATAGACCTTTCCTAAGAGACAAAAGGGGCTTTGGAGGTGAGAATGTGGCTGAATTCAGGAAAAGCAAATCCACGCTAGGAATGTGCTGCAATATCCTAGTAAGGGGACTTTTCATAGGATAAAGCCCCACAGATTATGTAATCCTACACATAATGAGTGGACAGGGAACAGGAACATAAACCCTCTGGGAAAATCATGACTTTTTTAAAATCAGCTTTCTCAGGTTGAAATGATTTTTTTTCTCTTTCTCTAGTTGTCATTTCTGAAAGAAAGAGTTTATAAAAATATTCTGAGATTAAAGCCCAAGGTTGTGGGGAGGGAGGAGGCTTGGTTTTGGAGAAGGTTAGAGTTTAGATAGAGCAGGCTGCTCAGAAATACTGTCCAATCAGAGGGCTCAGCCTTGGCTGCAGACTGTAGTTTAGATTTTAGATTCTCTGACACTAAAAATAATGCCTCTTACCATGGAATAAACCAGAGACAGTTATATTTTCCTGTGTATGGAAGGAATGAACACACGCCCATGATACAGTGGAGAGAAATGTTACCCTCCCAGGTTAAGGCAGGTAACCTCGCTCAGGAAAAGGTTATCTGACAGCCAAGGACATAAAATAAATGCTGCAGGGCAAGCAGAAAACATGCATCATGCAAACCAGGGCTGCCGCCTCCTCACCTCCTTTCAGCCAGCCCAGCCTCCCAGTCCTCTTTCTTGGGCTGAGCTGAGATCTGCCTCGGGTGAAACGAGAGATCCCTATGGTTCCTCAAGTGCTTGGATGGAGAGCCCTGCCTGCTGTCTCCGGGAACGGAGCGCTCCACAGCCTGGGGACATTGCGAGACTGCCCTTGCCTGCTTCTGCTTCTAAGGTGGCTGCATTCCCAGGAACCAGAGCCTGCTTTTCCCGAGCTCTCCTAAAAATATTTATCCTCTGCCGGTCCCTATGGGAGAACGACAGTGTGAAGAAGGGTGGTTTATAAACTGCTTAAGGATTTGCCTTTTGACGTTGCAAACCAAGGAAGAGGAAGATATTTAGGACAGACGAAGGTTTAAACAGTTGTCAAATTCTATTCAAGCACTTCTTCCCCGTCACAAACGCAGACGGGGAAATGCAGATCTAGCCCGCTGCTAGCAAGGAGGCGAATGCGATACCCTGAAAATTCCCGACTGGACCACCTCAAAAAGCGACAGCCTCAATGCATTAGGAAAAACCTGCGTTTTCGTGGAACCCGGCGGAGGAATTTTGTATCCCCTTCAAATATTGCGTAAGAGGAGGAAGAGAGAAGCAGCGCTGGGCTGCACCTCACCACTTGCTGTGCACCCCGGAAAGTGGCGTCCAGCAGCATCAGCTTCCAGGGGTCGGACACGGAGCCAGGCAGCGGGATGTAGACGTAATAGGCGGCCAGCGCCACCAGGGCGGTGAGCAGGACACAGGACGACCTCATCTTGCCCTGGCTCGGCTCGCCAGCGGGCTGGCAAAGAGGAAAGGGCGATACCACCCGGAGACCTCCGGCAACTTTCTGCCCGCGGCAGCTGCTCATTCACGCGTTTCTTATAAGCCCAGGAGCCAATCAGAGGCTGCGTCGGGAGGAAGTTGGAGCGCGGACATGCCCCCTCTACGGTGTCCTTGCAAAGTGTGGCAGTCACTACAGGTTTGAGGAAGGCTCTGTCGCTGCTCTGGCCGTAGGCACAGCGGACTCTGGAGGACACTGGTTTGTACTGCATGCGTGTGAGGATGGCTTTCCTCCTGGAAGGTCTCAAACGGAAAATAGTTTCAGTGTGACGAGTCTCTGGACAAAGCAAGTGGGTCATTCTGACTCAGAGTACTGAGAAAGGATATAAAAATTCTGTTTTCTGGAGCCAGACTTGGAGTGGTTTGTAAGTTCTAGCTGATATATGGCAAAAGAAGATATTAAATTCTTCTGGCTCAAGCAATGAAAGGCCAGTAGTACATCTAGCACCCAAGTCTTGGTTTCTAAATCCTATGCTCCAATAAGAGGAACCACGGCTTTTTGACACAACCTCTGGAGAAAAGGCTGATACCAGGGCTGGGGCTGTAAAGTACAAGATGAACCTGTTGTGCCAGAGATGCGGAAGTGCTCAAAAAATGATAGGAACTGGTCAAAGGTCCACAGCTGCCAGCTTGAAGGGTCTCCCAGTGGCTGAAGCTGGGATAATTTTACCATCAATATAAATCATCATAATGGATAACCCATTGATTAAAATAAAACTCAACAATCTATATTAATATAAATAAATGAGGAAAGAAGAAAGGCTTTTCTTAAAATAGAATGCCAGCTAGTATCCATAGAAAATCATAAATGAATGCTAAAACTAGAGGGTAAAAATTTGACACAGAATTTTGGTCCTTCATCAGAAGATCTCTCCACAAATTACTACAAAGGGAAAAAATAATAACTTTTTATTGGAGAAACGTGTGGATATCACCTGAAAAATTCTTTCAGTGAGTCAATGGTAGCAGAAATACACTTAAACCCAGATTTCTTGTTAATGATTGGGGGTGAGGAGGGGTGGGTGAGTACTGAATGGGAGAGAGAAAACTTCACTAGCAAAATTTCAACCAGAAATCCAGAAGGAAAACAGTTAGAAGACCTGTTTCAAGAAAGTGGTAGGATGACAACTCCAAACTTATTGATGAAGGTCTTAAAACACCTAGTATATATAATTATGCATCTTAAGATGGTAATTTTAATTTAATCAAATTAATAGAAGTGAAATAACCATAAATTTGGTTCTGATAATGAGATTTTTAGGAAACAGTTGGCTTCTTCTTCAACATTGAAGGAAAACTGATAAGAAGGGCACACTTTCATGGTATTTCAAGCAAGTTCTCTCTCTCTTTTTTTTTTGTTTTGTTTGTTTTTGGTGTTTGTTTTTTGTTTTTTTTGAGACGGAGTCTTGCTCTTTTCGCCCAGGCTAGAGTGCAATGGCACGATCTCAGCTCACTGCAACCTCCACCTCCTGGGTTCAAGCAATTCTCTTGCCTCAGCCTCCTCAGTAGGTGGGATTACAGGTGCCCACCACCACACCTGGCTGATTTTTGTATTTTTAGTAGAGATGGGGTTTCACCATGCTGGCCAGGCTGGTCTCAAACTCCTGACCTTGTGATCTGCCCACCTCAGTCTCCCAAAGTGCTGGGATTACAGGCATGATCCACGGCACCTGGCCTCTCTCTCTCTCTCTCTCTCTCTCTCTCTCTCTCTCTCTCTCTCTCTCTGTCTTTTAAGTTACTGGTTAAACTCATAACTCTAAACAGATAGGAATGTTTATGTTTATGTTTGTGTGTGAGTATATGTGTAGAAAATTAGAAGCTATTCTTTTTTTTTTTGAGATAGAGCATCGCTCTTGTCACCCAGGCTGGAGTGCAATGGTGCAATCTTGGCTCACTGCAACCTCTGCCTCCCGGGTTCAAGCCATTCTGCCTCAGCCTCCCGAGTAGCTGGGATTTCAGATGCCTGCCACTAAGCCCAGCTAATTTTGTATTTTTAGTAGAGACAGGGTTTCACCGTGTTGGCCAGGCTGGTCTTGAACTCCTGACTTCAGGTGATCCACCTGCCTCAGCCTCCAAAAGTGCTGGGATTACAGGTGTGAACTACCACGCCCAGCCAGAAGCTAATCTTTATGGGTGATTAGGAATAATCCTGGAGATATAAACCAAGCTGACTACTGGATTTAGTTACATTACTTGCTTTCAGGAAATCTGCAAAATAAATCCAAGTTTTACCTTGTCGACAATACTTTTCTCTTAGATTTTGACTATATGTTCATAAAAACATAGATCTTAGAGCTAATGACAAAACCAAACCGAACCAAAAACAAACAAGCAAACAAATCCAAAAATCCCCACACCTAACTCAGCCTTCCCTCTTCCACCAGCAGTTAACACACTCGGTGTTATAGATGAGCCTCTTGAGGATTAGCGCAGCCAAATGGCTTACTCATATTCCTCTAGTTTGTAAGTGATAGTAGCAATATTTATTTCTGCCTCTCAGTGAAGTGTGGCTTCCCTTAAGCAGTACACTAAGAGATAGAAACTAAGAAAGAACAAAGAAACTGTAGTAATTCTCAGATCAGAAATCTGAGAGCCTCTGTAGATCTGAGAGTTTTTTAAAATGAGACTAATTTGAGATAAGTATAAACACCTTCATCACTTGTTTTCAATACTTCATTCATTCAACAAACATACCTGGCCTACACTGGGAAATAAAGAAGTTGTGGCAGGCAGGCTGTAAGGTTTCGACTCTTTGATTTTATATGCTTGGAGGGTGGTGGGGAGGGGTTCAGGGGAGGATGTAAGCATGATACAGAAGGAAGAGCCAAACAATAAACAAACAAAAATTAATAAGCAACATGCATTAATTTGCCTTGCTATGAGGTAATTCTGTGGTAAGCACTTTGAATATATTAACTAATTTAGCTTCATAACGATTCTACGAAATAGGTACCATTGTTACTCTAAAAACAGGCACTGAAAGATGAAGTGCTTTGCCCAAGCCATCCAGCTGGTATGTGAGCCCAGAGTCTGAGCCTAGTGCTCATGTGCTTTACCACTCAGCTCTACTGCTAAGTGGTTAAAAATGAAAATGGCCGGGCGTGGTGGCTCACGCCTGTAATCCCAGCACTTTGGGAGGCCAAGGTGGGTGGATCACCTGAGGTTGGGAGTTGGAGACCAGCCTGGCCAACATGGGGAAACCCCGTCTCTATGAAAAATACAAAAATTAGCTGGGTGTGGTGGCACGTGCCTGTAATCCCAGCTACTCGGGAGGCTGAGGCAGGAGAATTGCTTGAACCCGGGAGGTGGAGGTTGCAGTGAGCCGAGATTCCACCATTGCACTCTAGCCTGGGCAACAAGAGTAAAACTCCGTCTCAGAAAAAAAAAAAGAGAGAGAGAGAAAACAGAACAGGGTGTCTGGGAGCTGCTTTAAATTGGGTGGGAAAGGGGACCTCTTTAAGGAGATGCCATTTGAGCTGACATCTGCATGACAGGAGAAGACTGCCATGCAGGGTTGTGGAGGTGGAGGGAACAGGTGCAGAGGCTCTAAGATGCTAACCCGGTCAATGAACACTAACAGCTAGTGAGGCAGAAGTACTGTGGGAAAGGTGGTGGAACAGGCTCAGCCACAGAGGTAGTGTGGGTGCAGAAGAGCAGATCATTTAGGACCATGTAGGCCATGTTAAGGAGTTTGAATATTCTGGTACAATGGGAAGCAATTGGAGGTTTTGTAACAGGAAAGTGACATGATCTGATCTATTCATATATTTAAAAAGGAGCACTACAGCTGCCATGTGGAGAAGACCTGTCAGGTGGCTTTTGCAGTAGTCCAGATGAGATATGATGGTGGCCCGGAGCTGCAGTTTAGTTTAGCAATGGAATCAAGGGGACAGATTTTGGGTATATTTTAGAGATAGGGGAGATAAGACATACTCATAAATTATGAACGATGATAACAAGAGTCAAAATACTCTGTTTCTAAGGCAATAAGGTGTAGTTTGAGTGCAGAAATTGACTTTTCCGTTTTTATGGAATTGTCTTAGATTAATTTTTATTAACATCTAAATATATGACATAGCAATATCATTGCTTAACAAAATCTTTATTTTTATCACTTGAAATAATTTTCCCAAAATTCCATCTATTACACCATGTGAAGTGGTTTTCTTCATCCACGACAAGCAGAACTTTAGTTCAACATTTATTGAGTTTTGCTATCTGTAAGGCACTGTGGTAGATGCTGTCGTGATGAAAATATAGTTCCTTTCCTTGTGAAAAAGTGTTCTAGTTAGAGAGAAAGTCAGATAAGTAGATAGTTTCAAATATGTACACAGCTCAGAAATGTAACACAGAAGAAGTCAAAATTCTGTTCCAGAAAAATGAGGAATAAGAAATACTCAAAAATGGCGATGACTGAGCAAGTTCTGCAGGCTGAAAAGGAGTGTGTGTACAGGCAGACAATAAGTGAGACCATCCCAAGCAGAAAGAAGAGATTATATGGGAGTTCTGAAGTGTGATGGGAGCAGAGAACTACACATAGTTCAATATTTCTGGAGCATCAGATGCAGGGAGGTGGAGTGTAATGAGAGTATAACCTGAAGAGTTAGGGATCACACAATGAGGGCCTGCTACGAGTGTGTTATGTCACTGAAGAGTTTGAACATTATCCTTTAGGCAGTGGAGAGACACTGAAGGGTTTGCATGAGATCGCTCCGGTAGCGATGTACAGGGTATGTGTGTGGGGAGAGAACAGATGAAGTAGTTGGGAGGATGTTGTTTTTTTGTTTGTTTGTTTTTGTTTTGCTTTTTGGTTTTTTTTGGAGATGGAGTCTCACTCTGTCATCCAGATTGGAGTGCAGTGGCGTGATCTCGGCTCACTGCAACCTCTGCCTCCCAGGTTCAAGCAATTCTCCTGCCTCAGCCTCCCAAGTAGCTAGGACTACAGGTGCACGCTGCCATGCCTGGCTAATTTTGTCATTGCTGTATTTTAGTAGAGATGGGGTTTTACTGTGTTGCCCAGGCTGGTCTTGAACTCCTGAGCTCAGGCAATCCAACCACCTCAGCCTCCCAAAGTGCTAGGATTACAGGCATGAGCCACTGCACCTGGTCAAGGATGTTGCTTTTAAGGTGTGCAAGATAGAGATGGTATTAGCATAAACTTGTATCAGGTGATGAAAATGAGAATGAAGAGTCAAAAGATACCTGAGAGGTAGAATCAAGAAGACTTGTAAAGGGAGAATAAAGGAGTCAAGATGAATTTCCGGGTCACTCGCTGAAGCAGATGGGAGAATGGTGTTGCCTTTTCAGAGATAAAGAATGGTAAAGGGTAAAAGATTTAAGGGGAAATGATAAATTTAGTTTGGAAGAGTTAGGTTTGAGGTATCTATAAAACATTTAAGTAGAGACAGTACGTAGGCTCCCAGACACAAGCTGGAGATGTAAATGTGAATCTTCATCCTGTAACTGAAGCCATGACAATGAATGAGACAGAAGCTGTGTGTGTGTGTGTGTGTGTGTGTGTGTGTGTCCGCGCCCGCGTGATGGGGAAGGGTCTAGGGTTGGGCAGAAGAAAAGCAGGCCAAAGGGTGTTGGCATTTACTGTTTAGGAGAAGAAGAAGGAGAAGTTGACAAGAGGCCAAGAGGAAGTGGTCAGAGAGGGGTCTGTCTGAACTAGAGGCACGGAATAGTGGTGAATACTGAAAGGCAAGGAAATCATTGAGAAGTTAAATTGGTGGAATTTCCTAATTGGATTCTTGAAAGGGAGAGGGAGAGGATGGAGCCAGCAATGACTTCAAAGTTTCTGGTTTGGGCAATGTCATTAACTGGCATAAGAAATACCAGAGGCAAAGCAGGTCTGGGGATAAAATAATGAGTTGAGGCCAGGCACAGTGGCTCAACGCCTGTAATCCCAGCACTTTGGGAAGCCGAGGTGGGTGGATCACGAGGTCAGGAGATTAAGACCAGCCTGGCCAACATGGTGAAACCCCGTCTCTCCTAAAAATACAAAAATTAGCTGGGTGTGGTGGTGCATGCCTGTAATCCCAGTTGCTCCGGAGGCTGAGGCAGGAGAATCACTTGAACCTGGGAGGCGGAGGTTGCGGTGAGCCGAGATTGTGCCACTGCATTCCAGCCTGGCAACAGAGCGAGACTCCATCTCAAAAAAAAAAAAATGAGTTCAGTCATATGATGTGCTCCAGGTAAAGCATCCTGATGAAGATGTCCAGCAGGCCACTGGATTTAGAGGCTGGACCCTTACAGGAGGTGTCAGGGCTGTACTTGGGAACAGCCAAGATGGGTAACCCAAGCATCATAACATATTAAACCACTTATACAAACTATATAATACAAAGTATATGATACAAGTATATTACCAGGGACACATGATATATCAAACCCTGAAACAAAGCATCAAGCCATTAATACAAACTATGTAAGTATAAAATAAAAAGACTGATACAAAGTAATAAAGGTCTTTAAACTGTTTTTAGTTTACTCAGCATTGTATTCAGCAGCATTCTCTGGTCTAAATGCAATGTTAACATTTAATTAAGGTCTAAATCACTACATGATATGTTTCAAAAAATGGCTTGTCAATGACTTCCTTTATGTGTCTGCCTGTTTTGCATAATGCCCTCTACTGGTTATGGTTTGAAGCTCATACTTCATCTTGCCAACCAAAACGGTATTATATTCACTTAACAGCGAAAATCTAGGGTTGTGTTCAAAGAATAAAAGGAATATTCTCTCTCTTTTTTGAAACCACCCTGTTAAATCATCGCCCCAAAGATTTATGAGTTTATAAAAAATTCATCCTGGACCAGCCTGGACCAGGCTGAATTTTTCCTGGAGTTGGCTCATGGCAACTCCAGGAAAACCACAGTGTTGCTTCCTGAACTGGAGCCTCATATTGCCTCCTCGTACCACCATAAACACACATTGCAGGGACCACTCCTGGTGCCTCATCTCCCAGTTTCCTGTATCTTGCCCTCAGTGATTAGTTTAGTCTCCTATGACTGCTGTAACAAAGTACCACAGACTTGGTGGCTTAAAACAACAGACAGGTATTTATCTTAAAGTTCTGGAGGCTGAAATCAAGGCTTTGATTTTAGGTGTTGGCAGGGCCAAGGTGTTGACAGGGACATGCTCTCTCTGAGGGCTCTAAGGGAGGATTCTTCCTTGCCTCATCCTAGCTTCGGAGGTTGCAGGCAATCCTTGGTGTTCCTGGGCTTGTAAATGCCACCAGTCTCTGCCTCTGTCTTCCCATGGCTGTCTTCTCTGTGTGTTGGTCTTTCTATCTGTTCTCCTCTTAGAAAGACATCACTCATATAGGCGGATCACTTGAGGTCAGGAGTTTGTGACCAGCCTACCCAACATGGTGAAACCCCATCTCTACTAAAAATACACAAATTAGCCAGGTGTGGTGGCAGACACCTGTAATTCCAGCTACTCAGGAGGCAGAGGCAGGAGAATCACTTGAACCTGGGAGGCAGAGGTTGCAGTAAGCCAAGATTGTGCCATTGCACTCTAGCCTGGGTGACAAGAGCGAGACTTTGTCTCAAAAAAAAAAATAAAGCAAAGAAATAAAAGAATGGCTACTCCATAGGCACAGCAGTGGCATGGTCTGCTTGACCAAGTACACTTAGAGTTATTTCTTGATTATATGCTAAACAAGGAGTGGATTATTCATGAGTTTTCTGGGAAGGCAGTGGGCAATTCCTAGAACTGAGGGTTCCTCCTCCTTTTAGACCAAAGAGGGTAACTTCCTGACATTGCCATGGCATCTGTAAACTGTCATGGCACTGGTGGGAGTGTCTTTTAGCACGCTAATGTCTTATAATTAGCCTATAATGAGCAGTGAGGATGACCAGAGGTCACTTTCCTTGCCACCTTGGTTTTGGTGGGTTTTGGCTAGCTTCTTTACTGCATCGTGTTTTATCAGCAAGGTCTTTGTGACTTATTATTGGGAAAAAGCTGAGTGTTGGCAAGAAAGCTGAAGCAGGGCTTGCATGTCTGACATAATGTCCTCTGGAATATGTCTAGACTTGCTGACTCCTTGCTTCTAGCCCTCCTAGGCTCCTAGATCGATTGTATTCCCATTATCTCAAGTAGCAGAACATGTTGCATATAAATGCTGAACCGTCACAGCTGTAGATCATGCGCCTGCCCTTTTGACATCCACATTCTCACCACCTGTTTTTTTTGTTGTTGCTGTTGGATTACCAATAAATAGCGTGGGTTCACAGAGCTTGGGGACTTCACAGCCTCCACAATCTCGATGGCCCCCTGGTCCCACTTTACTTCTCAAACTTTTTCTCAATCCTTTGACTCCACTGGACTTTGTCGCCCCCACGACCTGGTGTTGGGTCTGATCACCCCAACATTCCTGGCACTCAATGTGAGGTAACAAAGGCCCCAGTGAAGGAATGCTAGAGCATGTGAAAGCGGAGGACGCATCCTCGAAGGACACCCGAGGATGTCTAAAAGAAGCTCAGCGGGAAAGCTGAGCGCTCAGAAGAACGAGGGTAACAATGGGACAAAGTGAAAGCAGACATTCTGCTTATTTAAATTTCTTAAGGCATTGATTATGAAGAGGGGGAAAGATAGTAATTTGTTATCACTCTTTAGTGCAGTAAAGCAGCTTTGCCCATGGTTCCTGGAACAAGGGATTATGGAGTTGGATGAATGGGAGAGAATTGGCAGAGATTTAAAAAAAAGTGTATAAAGATGGAGCAAAAATTCCAGTCTCGGTTTGGTCAATGTGGGCACTAATAAAAGTAGCTCTTGAGCCATTTCAAACAGATGATGAGGCAGATTCAGATGAGGAAGAGGAGGATGAGTGTAAAAAACTAACCTCAGATTCTGAATGTGAGGAACGGAAAATGGAGGAAATTAAAGAAAAGAAAAAGAAACTCAGAGGCTGGGCGCGGTGGCTCACGCCTGTAATCCCAGCATTTTGGGAGGCCGAGGTGGGCAGATCACAAGGTCAGGAGATCGAGACCATCCTGGCTGACACGGTGAAACCCCGTCTCTACTAAAAATACAAAAAATTAGCTGGGCGTGGTGGCGGGCAACTGTAGTCCCAGCTACTCAGGAGGCTGAGGCAGGAGGATGGCGTGAACCCGGGAGGCGGAGCTTGCAGTGAGCCGAGATCGCGCTACTGCACTTCAGCCTGGGGGACAGAGTGAGACTCTGTCTCAAAAAAAAAAAAAAAAAAAAAAAGAGAGAAACTGAAAAAAAAGTATGTTTTACTAGCCCGACGGCTCCACCTACTGAATTAAGTGAAAGGCCACCTCCTCTCTCTCCCCCTAATGGGCGAGAAGATGAATTAGCTATGAAACTTACTGCTCCTGTAGTTGCAACATTAAAACCTGGAGCAATTGATGGTGCTATACAAAATTCTATTCAAAAGGCTAGAGCCGAGGGAGACCTTGAAGCATGGCAATTTCCCATAACTATAATCCAGCAGGGAGAACAGAATATAGCTAATTGGACCACCTTTCCTTTTAAGATGCTCTCCTCCCCAATTTCTACCCAGCTTACCCCACTGCAATACTATCTTTAAGCCTTGGCTCCTTGGCCAGGGCCTTAGAACTGATAACCCAGTACTTTAATAACTGGAACTGGGTCTACGACAACATAATAGATCAGGACGGAAACGAATTCAGTAAATTAAAGTGAGGCGCATATTCCTATAGTGGCAAATGGGGGCAATGAGAGAATGTCCTTCTGCTGTGTTTCCAAAATCCATCTACAAAGGAGAAAGAAAGAGATATACAAGTAGTTAAAGGAAAAACAGTGTACCCTATTCCTTTAAAAGCCAGGGTAAGTTTAAAACATATAATTGATAGTTGAGGGTCTTCTCTGTGACTCTATAACTCTCCAATACTACCTTGTTGTCAGTGTAAACAAGGGTGTAGCCCGAAAGCACTGAGACCACTGACCACCACTAGCCTTCCTATCAAAAAATCCCTAACCCAGTAACCCGTGAATGGTCCAAATGCATTCCATCGGTAGCAGCAACTGCTTCGCTAACAGAAGAAAGTGGAAAAATAACCTTTAGAGGAAACCTCATTGTGAGCACACCTCACCAGTCCAGGGCTATCCTAAGAAAAAAAAGCAAAAAGGTAGCTTACTAACTAAAAAATCTTAAAGTATGGGGCTATTCTGTTAGAAAAAGGTGATTTAATATTAACCACTGAAAATTCCCTTAACCCAGCAGGTTTCTTAATGAGGGATTTAAATCTTAATTACCATACAAAGGTCTGAGCAGACCTAGGAGGAACTCCCTTCAGGACAGGAGGATAGATGGCTCCTCCTGGGTGATTGAGGGGATAAAACCACAGCAGGTATTCAGTAATTGATAGGGAGACTCTTGTAGAAACAGAGTTAGAAAAATCGCCTAATAATTGGTCTGCTCAAATGTGCGAGCTGTTTGCAGTCAGCCAAGCCTTGAAGTACTTACAGAATAAAAAAAACTCTATCTTAATCCTGACACAAAAGGTTACCTACACCCTCTCTGAAACAAATTTTCATAAGAATTGTTTATGGGAGTGCATCTTGAAGGAGCAGCTGGGTTGTTATGAAATACTCAGGAACCCAGCCCAGCTCTAGAACTCGCCCCTGAGCTCAAAGGCAATGTTGGGCATGCTGGTAAAGGACCACTAGAATCCAGCAGCGTAGACTCCTTTCTTTGTGGTCAAGAAAGGTGGGAAAACAGATGCAGGACCAGTACATTGGTCAGTGTAACGAGTCCGATAAACAGAAGTCCATGGGTGGTTATGCACCCTGGAAAGGAATAAGCATTAGGACCATAGACGACACTCTAGGACTAATGCTTATCAGAAAATGACTAGGGGTGCTGGCATCCCTATGTTCTTTTTTCAGATGGGAAATGTTCCCCCACAAGGCAAAAACGCCCCTAAGATGTATTCTGGAGAATTTGGCCTAGTCAGAGTGTATGCAACTTTTTACCTCTCAGATTTGAAACAAATTAAAATAGACCTAGGTAAATTCTCAGATAACCCTGATGGCTGTATTGATGTTTTACAAGGGTTAGGACAATCCTTTGATCTGACATGGAGAGATATAATGTTACTGCTAGATCAGACACTAACCCCAAATGAGAGAAGTACCGTCATAACTGCAGCCCGAGAGTTTGGTGATCTCTGGTATCTCAGTCAGGTCAATGATAGGATGACAACAGAGGAAAGAGAACAATTCCCCACAGGCCAGCAGGCAGTTCCTAGGCTAGACCCTCACTGGGATGCAGAATCAGAACACGGAGATTGGTGCCACAGACATTTGCTAACTTGTGTGCTAGAAGGACTAAGGAAAACTAGGCAGAAGCCTATAAATTATTCAATGATGTCCACTATAACACAAGGAAAGAAGAAAATCCTACTGCCTTTCTGGAGAGACTAAGGGAGTCATTGAGGAAACATATCTCTCTGTCACATGACTCTATTGAAGGCCAACTAATCTTACAGGATAAATTTATCACTCAGTCAGCTGCAGATACTAGAAAAAACTTCAAAAGTCCACCTTAGGCCTGGAGCAAAACTTAGAAACCCTATTGAACTTGGCAACCTTGGTTTTTTATAATAGAGATCAGGAGGAGCAGGTGGAACAGGACAAACAGGATTAAAAAAAAAAGGGGGCCACCACTTTAGTCATGGCCCTCAGGCAAGCGGACTTTGGAGGCTCTGGGAAAGGGAAAGGCTGGGCAAATCGAATGCCTAATAGGGCTTGCTTCCAGTGTGGTCTATAAGGACACTTTAAAAAAGATTGTCCGAATAGAAATAAGCCGCCCCCTTGTCCATGCCCCTTATGTCAAGGGAATCACTGGAAGTCCCACTGCCCCAGGGGACGAAGGTCCTCTGAGTCAGAAGCCACTAACCAGACGATCCAGCAGCAGGACTGAGGGTGCCCGGGGCAAGCGCCAGCCCATGCCCTCACCCTCAGAGAGCCCCAGGTATGCTTGACCATTGAGGGCCAGGAAGTTAACTGTCTCCTGGACACTGGCGCAGCCTTCTCAGTCTTACTCTCCTGTCTCGGACAACTGTCTTCCAGATCTGTCACTATCTAAGGGGTCCTAGGACAGGCAGTCACTAGATACCTCTCCCAACCACTAAGTTGTGACTGGGGAACTTTACTCTTTTCACATGCCTTTCTAATTATGCCTGAAAGCCCCACTCCTTTGTTAGGGAGAGATATCCTGGCAAAAGCAGGGGCCATTATACACTAGAATTAGGAGAAGGAAAAAGGATAAATATATATACAGACTCTAAGTATACTTACCTAGTCCTCCATGCCCACACAGCAATATGGAGAGAAAGGGAATTCCTAACTTCTGAGGGAACACCTATCAAACATCAGGAAGCCATTAGGCCCCAAAATTCTCCTTGCCTCTGAATCTACTTCCTCCGATCCCTGCCTAAAGATAATTTTATGGGGAAGAGGATTAGTTTGTGTCTTTCGGGTGACACTCAGGTGCCTTTGTGGGTGCCCACCAAACATCTGAAGATCTATCATGAACCATGGCATCTAGTGGACCCACCTGTACAGTGTGAATTGAAGGTTTGAAAAGCCTCGATTTGCTTTCCCTGTGCCTTTTGTTAGAAGGGGCCTGTTTCTCATTATCAGTGGCCTCTCGGCTACAGCCACAAAAGTTTTTGCTTCTGTTTCAGTAGATTTACTAATGTGGGGGTGGGGGTATGCTTGTGTTTTTGCAGGAGATGAACAAACCGTGTGGATGCCCTCAAGATGTGTACAACTATAGAACAGGAGATGGGTACGACCATAGAACAGGAGATGGGAGGGTCCAACCATGGACCGGGTTCCGCCAGTATGAGCCATGAGCCAGTTGAATCTGAATGCAAAGAACAAGGACCGACTGGAGTCACAATGCTTAACGGACCAATGCTTTCTGACTCAGCTCCTCTCTACCCTGAATAAAGAGACCCTAATAGTTAGGCAGGAGTATCATCACCCCTGTTCAGCATGAAGAAGTTACAGAAGATGGACGTTCATCCTTCTGCAACCCCTAGGATTAAGGGTCCTCTTGTAAAAGGGAAAGGGGAGGTATGTGGGAAGCATTCAAACCAGAGTGACTCCAGTTTGAAAAAGGGCTAAGAAAAATGAAGCTGGATCACCAACTGGCAATTAAGGAGTGCACAGCCTACAATTGCCTTGCTCAGTTAAAAAAGGCCACCTTTTATGCTAGTAATAATGATAGCAATAGTGATACCTTCTCTTTTACAAAGAAGAGAAGGGGGACATGTTGGGAAAAAGCTGAGTATTGGGAAGAAAGCTGAGGCAGTGCTTGCATGTCTGACATAATGTCCTCTGGAATGTGTCTAGACTTGCTGGCTTCTTGCTTCTAGCCCTCCTAGGCTCCTAAATAGATTGTATTCCCATCATCTCAAGTACCAGAACATGTTCCTTATAAATGCTAAACCATCACAGCTATAGATCAGGCACCTGCCCTTTTGACCGCCACATTCTCACCACCTGTTTCTTTGTTGGATTACCAATAAATAGTGTGGGCTCCCAGAGCTTGGGGCCTTTGCAGCCTCCCCAATCGCGATGGCCCCTGGTTCCACTTTACTTCTCAAACTGTCTTTTTCTCAACCCTTTGACTCTGCCAGACTTCGTCACCCCCACGACCTGGTGTTGGGTCTGATCACCCCAACGACCTATATTTTGTGCTACCCTCTTATCTCATTCTGTGACTAAGAATGCCTAACCTCCTGGGAAGGCAGCCCAGTAGGTCTGAGCCTTATTTTTCTCAGTCCTTATTCAAGATGGAGTTGCTCTGGTTCGAATGCCTCTGACACTTAGAGCTTTGTTGTTGAAAACTGAATTATATACTGTACTTTTTCTTTTCTCTTATTGAAAAATCATCCTACTTTGTTGATTATTTTCTGTAACGTCTTGAGGTAATTTAAAATTCCACCTGTCTCCATCAGAGAGACAGGGACTCTTGTCCTTTTTATTCACTGCTATACCATGGGTGTCTAGAATATTGCCTGCACATGGTAGGTGCTTAAATAATATTTTGAATAAGTTAATACTATGAAGCATTGGTAAATTCACTCAATTTTAATGAATGAATTAAATATCTTCAAATTTAATGACAATTGTCTTTATTCAGATTTCTGAACAATATATTCAGAGAAATAACTTTAGAGAAAAAGACAAGTGAAGAAAAAGAATAAGAAGAAAAGCAATGGATAAACAGGAAAAGAGAATAAAAAGGAAAAATTTTAAACTCCTATTAACTCCCCCAGAAATATTGATTTTATTGCTTATTGTTTAATAGGTGAACCATCTGACTCTGCATATGCCTTGTGGTGAAAATGTTTGGGACATAGGAATGAGACATTTTTTGCATATACGTCATAGTGGGCATTGGCATACCTGTGGCCTCTCAGAATCTTTTGAACACTCTTTCTAAATGTTGGTAACTTCCTATACTGCAAATGCTAGCTCTGTAAGTGGGATGCTATAAATCTCACCTTCCCAGTCTCTCTCATCTCAGAACCCAGCATGTCCACTGGATCTTGACTTAGCAGAATTCAAGTAAGATTTGACCCCAAAGGAAAACACTGCGAAAAAAGATTTTGCAGCGTCTGTCAAGGGTGCAGAGTCTGATCAAGAGGTACAAAACTCTCAGCAGCATCAGAAGCAAAATGTCCTGGTGGTATAGTCTGTGTTCGCTGTTCGCAGAGGCTCTGTGGACAGTCTCATGGTGGCTTTAGGGAGTGCAGGATTGTCCCTATGATTTTTTGTTAAAACTTGCTAAAGTTGCCAGGCACGGTGGCTAATGCCTGTAATCCCAGCACTTTGGGAGGCCGAGAAGGGTGGATCGCCTGAGGTCAGGCGTTCGAGACCAGCCTGGCCAACATGGCTAAACCCCGTCTCTACTAAAAATACAAAAAATAGCCAGGCATAGTGGTACGTGCCTGTAATCCTAGCTACTTGGGAGGCTGAGGCAGGAGAATCACTTGAACCCAGGAGGTGGAGGTTACAGTGAGCCGAGATCATGCCGTTACACTCCAGCCTGGGCAACAGAGCCAGACTCCATCTCAAAAAAATAAAATAAAAACTTGCTACAGTTGTTTGGTTCTGTTGTTTGTAACCAAAAGCCCTAACTGAGATAACCATTCACAGTGTAAGTTCACACTGATGGTTTTTAATGTTTTGTAAATCCAGCCCATTTAATATATGTGGATTCCTCAAGGCAGAGGCTAGCCAGTGCTGGCACATCACTGGATACACAGGAATTACAATATAGATACATTTGTTCTTTCTCCTTTCTATTCATCTACAGGTCTACATGATTGCATTTCCATAACTAATGAATGCATAGCCCTAACATAAAATACAAAGTGCTACATATGCACAAAATAAAAATATATACAGAACCTGATGCATATTTTTGTTCATATTTTCTAAGAAGACAAAATAAACACAATGTTGAGGCATTGCTAGGAACTTACAGAATTGCAAAACAGGGTTGTGAAAGGCAGCTAAGGGAACAGGAAAGATCACTGGCATCTAGTCCTAGTTCAATTATGGACGAACCATGTGATCTTGGGCCTCCTGGACCTCAGTTTCCTCATATGCAAATGCTAGGGTTGGGCTAATAATAATAGCTATTATTTATTCAGCATGTGCTTTGCCAGGCAAGCTAAAAGAGAGGTAAGTAATGTTATTATCCCAAGCTAAGAGAGGATGTATGAGAGGTGAAGAAACTTGCCCAAAGTCACTGTTAGACAGTGGCAGAGCTGGACTATGGACCCAGACATACTGCTACTAAAGCTTTATTCCTGAACATTTAGGGTGATTCCATATCTTTGCTATTGTGCATAGTACTGAAATAAACCACAACTAGGATTTTTAAAATCCTTGCAGACAGATATTTATGTTCAATTACTCTGACTGTGTCCTTGGATGCCACAGCAGTGTTAAATTCCTATTAAAGTTTCTAAATACTTGTCAATTTCTGTACTTGTGAACTGGTAACAATTTGCATACTGGTTCTGGTCTATAGATCATACTTTGAATGGTACTGTTATTAAAATACTTAAAGTTATTGCATAGTATGAAGAAAAGCTAATTGGTTAACAATTCTGTTGGAGATGTAAGACAGCTCTGTTCAAGGGCAGTCTACTCTCCATTCAGTGGCTGTACTAATCTTACTGCCTTGAGAAACAAGGCAAGTTCTACTGTAAGTATACTATACTTTGTTATAAAATCAGCTCCTCATACCATGTTACCGATTATAGAACTGTTACAATTGTAGAACCAAACTTTATCTTATTCTCTGTCATCTAATCAATGATCAGAAAGTCTTCAATTTTTGTTCGCCCTGCATGTCATATACACACCTTCTTTTTTCTTTTTAAAAATTTTTTATAACCGTATTTTACTTTTTTTTTTTTTTTTGAGACGGAGTCTGGCTCTGTCACCCAGGCTGGAGTGCAGTGGCGCGATCTCGGCTCACTGCAAGCTCGGCCTTCCAGGTTCACGCCATTCTCCTGCCTCGGCCTCCCGAATAGCTGGGACTACAGGCGCCCGCCACCGCGCCCGGTTAGTTTTGTTTTTGTATTTTTAGTAGAGATGGGGTTTCACCATGTTAGCCAGGATGGTCTCAATCTCCTGACCTTGTGATCCGCCCGCCTCGGCCTCCCCAAGTGCTGGGATTACAGGCGTGAGCCACTGCGCCCGGCCTTTAAAAAAATTTTAATAGAGACAAGATCTTGCTATGTTGCCCAGGCTGGTTTCAAACTCCTGAACTCAAGCAACCCTCCCGCCTCAGCTTCCCAAAGTGTTGAGATTACAGGCATGAGCCACCATGCCCAGCTACCTTCTTTTTTATTGCCATCACGTTCATAGGCTCATGAGTCCTATACTATTACAAAGATCATTGTGATAGTCTCTTGTCATGAGTGTCTGCTTCCTTTTCTTTTTTTTTTCTTTTTTTTTTTTTTTGAGATGGAGTCTCACTCTGTTGCCCAGGCTGGAGTGCAATGGTGCAATCTCGGTTCACTGCAACCTCCACCTCCAGGGTTCAAGTGATTCTCCTGCCTCAGCCTCTGAGTAGCTGGGACTACAGGCATGTGCCACCACGCCCAGCTAATTTTTTATATTTTTAGTAGAGACTGAGTTTCACCGTGTTAGCCAGGATGGTCTTGATCTCCTGACCTCATGATCTGCTCGCCTGGACCTCCCAAAGTGCTGGAATTACAGGTGTGAGCCACCGCACCTGGCCTGCTTCCTTTTCTTTTCTTCATTTAGAAGGTGAAGTGAGAAGAGACTGATTTTAATGCATTCTCTAGCTCTAACATTCCATGATTTATCCCCACTGTGCTTATTGATTCTGTTTTGATCTGCCCAAGGACCTAAGTGCCACATCAGAGTCTATGCCACAAAAAAATTCATAGGAAAGGCAATACAGCCTGGAGGTCAGCAGCTCAGATTTGAAAGGTACAAGCAAGTTCAATATGCTGACAATCCAGAATCTGTAATCTTGGCTAATCTGCATTGACATTTATTGTTTTTTCCATTTAGAATTATAACCCTACAGGTAACTAATATTTCTGTAATCATATTAATATATTAATTAATATAATTAATATTTCTGTAATCCTAATATTTAAGCTATTAATCCTAAATATTAATTAGGATTAATAGTTCTCAATCCTAAACTGAATGAGAAATAACGAGAATAGTGTAGAAATAACAAAAATCACAAATTTAGGCCAGTGCAGTGGCTCACACCTGTAATCCCAGCACTTTGGGAGGCTGAGGTTGGCAGATCACTTGAGATCAGGAGCTTGAGACCAGCCTGGCCAACATGGTGAAACCCCGTCTCTACTAAAAATACAAAAATTAGCTGGGTGTGATGGCGGGCACCTGTAATTTCAGCTACTCAGGAGGCTGAGACAGCAGAATCACTTGAACCCAGGAGGCAGAGGTTGAAGTGAGCCAAGAATGTGCCATTGCACTCCAGCATGGGTGACAAAGCAAGACTCTGTCTCAAAAGCAAAAATAAAAACATCACAAATTTAAATCTGTGTTATTAATACTTTTTAACTGCTTTAGGTATAAAAATAACAATAAGTTTTATAATCAATATGTTTGTGTTTTTTAGCTTGTTAGATGTGTATATACTATTTAAGATAATCTATTAGACTTGTGATTTTAATAATTATGAAACTTTTATTATGTGCTTCAATGTTTACATTAATCAATAATGTTTACATTTAATTTGTTTTTAGTATCATATAGTAACTCATGTTTAGATACTTAATGGAATGAATTATCATTACCCAAAGTACATCTAGGAATGAAAGTTCCTTTCTTTGAAAAGCTCCAGGATATTGAAGACCCTATCAACATCCCCATTTCCCTTGTTTGCCCTCAAGGAAGTAAACCATTTTGTGCTTCGGAAGCATTGGAGGGAAGAAGGAGGAGAGGGCGAACACAGATTCTGAGGTGAAGATAGATTCTGATCTGAATTCCAGTGTATTTTTCCTGAAACACGTTGAAGACAGATGTGAGAGTGATGGGAATCCCTGATCCACTCCCACATGGCACTCCAGGAGAAGGAATAAACTCTCAGTGAGGGTAGCTTGGTGATGCTTGGGAACTGAACAAGTGTCATGGTTTCGGGAAATAAGATACTCTTACTTGAGCTTCAAGTGAAAGCAGTAGAGGTGACTGCCTGCTAATAATTTATGCAAGCATTGACAACACTTCAGAGGTGGTCAAAACGGACTGAAGACCAGAGTCCTTTCCCCTAAATTTTTTGGATTGTACATCATGCCACAGATTTTTTGTGATCCTAGAAAGAAGGTGGGACCTGCCTGCACTATCTTCACTCCTTGAGAAATGAGCTGAGATGGGTTAAATTTCCCACTGATCCTGATGAGTAGCCCATATAGGTAAACATTAGAAAACTACAGAAAATGAGGTTTTATTGGACCCAGTATTGTGAAGGAGATTTTCATCCTTTATAAATGTGGTGGAGCCCTGCACACTTTGACTCAGCCTGACCTATTCAGGGCCTATGAGAAAGGGAGAGATGGCTGGGCACAGTGGCTCACGCCTGTAATCCCAGACTTTGGGAGGCCAAGGCAGGTGGATCACCTGAGGTCAGGAGACTAGCCTGGCCAACATGATGAAACACTGTCTCTGCTAAAAATACAATAATTAGCTGGGCATGGTGGTGGGCACCTGTAATCCAGGCTACTCAGGAGGCTGAGGCAGGAGAATAATTTGAACCTGGGAGGCAGAGGTTGCAGTGAGCCGAGATCACACATTACACTTCAGCCTGGGCGACAAGGGTTAAACTCAGTTTCAAAAGAAAGAAAGAAAGAAAAGAAAAGAAAAGAAGGAAGGGCGGGCGAGCACCATGGGATGCCTCATACCTGGCAGTACCTGTCCCCATGGGAGGAAATATAAAAAGGACCACCAGGTGAAGCAGGTGGAGGCAAAGCCCAGTAATGTGTCTTAAGTCAAAGATGGCCAACTAGAACCTAGCCCTTCATTTCTATGGCCTAGGAAACAAAGCCAAAGCCTAAGTCACCTTTTCCTGATTCAATAATAGGAATTGTGCCACAATAATATGTAATTTTTTGTGTCTTGAGAAATTTTAAAGTGCACTCAAGAAATCAAGCCAGAGCTTGCTCAAGGATAGTTCAAAGTCTATTTTACATAAAACTATTTTTCCTGTGATAATCTTGTTACACATAAATTTGATTTTTCTCTAGAGACCTAAGATAGTATTAATAAAATAGTATTTTCATTACAACCCTAACGAGATAATGGACTAGACTAACAGACTGTACACTCAAAGCTTTTTCTTTGAGATTTTCACAATTATATGTAAAGTTTATGTGTAGATGATGATTAGTATTATTTTGAAATTTCAGATAAGCATTGTGGTCTCTACCTTAAAGTATTCCAAGACTTTTTAAAGGAAATGGTTCTTTCAACTTATGTTCCTTATTTTCACAGCATTAAAATATGTTTGCTCATTCTGCTGGGGGAAGGGTTAGTAAAAGACCTTCAAAATTCATGGAAAGGTTCTTGGATATATGTCACTGGTCTCCAAGAGGAAGTCAAAGGCTTAATAAAGAAAATGGCACGATTTGGGCTGTTTTGCTTTTCCAAGTTTTATATTATAAAAGTAATCCATGTTCACAATTTTAAAAAATGAAGCAATATAGAAATGGTGTTCAGAGGTATTTACTACTAACAGTTGGGTACATGATAACACATTCTTGGCTTTTAATTTCACTTTGGTGTTCTCAGTGTGGTGATTTTTTTTTTTTTTTTTTTTTTTTTTTTTTGTAGAGAGAGGGTCTTGTGTTGCCTAGCTGGTCTCAAACTCTTGGCTTTAAGCCATCCTCCTGCCTTGGCCTCCTGAAGTACTGGGATTATCAGTGTGAGCCACTGCACCTGGTGAGGAGCAGTGATTTAATACATACCAATTCCTTGATCAGTCACATTCATGAAAAAAAAAATACGACAACAACAAAAAGGATTTTAATTAGGAAAAATGAAACAATGTAATTTGAAAATATTGATAACATCTTAACTCATACATAGCAGCTTCATTTGATCTTCAAAAGAAAGGAAGCATGCAAAATGTTGATAAAAAAGTAAAGGAAATTACACTTAATGAAGGAGAAAATAGATTAATATTTTAATAGCCTCTAAAAAATAAGTTCAATTATGTGTGAAAGAGAAGATAAAAATAATGAGAGATAAAGCATTAGTTTTTTTTTTCCTGATCACGTCTGTGACTATATTAAGCATCACAACCTTCATATTAGTATGCATTGGGGAACATTTTCTTTGTCATACATATTAACACAGAATTGCCTCTCTGTCATGAACGGTATCATGCTCTATGGTATTGCCTTGTGCACTCCAGTTGTACAGAAAAGAAAGCAGCATGATTGGAATTAAATTGTCTAGATCAGGCTACATCAGTTTGTTTTGTCATTTTATCCCCAGTGATTAACATAGTGCCTGGCTTAGAAGTACCTAATAAATATTTGCCAAGTAAGTGATCATAGCAAGAGCATTTATTGAGTGCTTTCTAGGTGTCAGGCACTGTTCTAAGCACTGTTCTAATCAACACTATTTCATACAATCCTCACATAACCCTACAAATTATTTCATAAGGTACCCATTTGTTCATTCTCTCTAGAGTAAAGGTTAAACACTTTTAGAATCATGACAATTTTAGGTTTCCACTAACTCACTCCTATTGTCCAAAATATGGAATTTATCTGCCTTTCTGTGCCCCTCTGGTGCTTGGCAAATCACACCTTGTTTGCTTGTTTTTTGCAGTTTTAAAACTGCTGTAAATACTCTCATATGTCTTCTCATAGATACATGTATTGGTTTCTCTAGGGTAAGTGTCAAGGTTGTAGGACAGGTGTATGCCAGATCTGTTCCCCAAGAGGTTGTAGCATTTTCTATCTGCCCACAATGTATGAAGGTTCTGATTTTTCCACATCCTCACCAAATATTTTTTAATTTTTCTAAATTAAGAACAATAGTCTCTTTAATTTTATCCATTCTAGAGTGTGTATAGTGCTATTTCATTTTAGTGTTAATTTGCATATTGCTGATGACTAATGACTTTGAACATGTTTTCAGGTGCTTATTGGCCATAGTTTATATTCGGTCATGAAATATCTATTCAAAACTTTTATCCATTGTTTATTAGCTTTTTGTTATTGCGGTATAAGAAATCTAGGCAGAGATACACATGTATGTCTATATACATCATTTTCTATATGATCTATATCCCATAAATATCTATAACTATATATCTAGATTTATATCTCCTAGATATATGTTGAAGATGTATATGTGTGTGTGTAAAACATATGCATACCTATATGTTTTGTAAATTCTTTTTACAGTCTGTGGACTGCATAATTTATTTTCTTAGTGGTTTCTTTGTTTGAAATTATGATGAGGTCTAATTTATCAGTTTTTTCTTTCATGGTTATTGCTTTCTGTGACTTGTCTAAGAAATCTTTGCCAAGACTCAAGTCATAGAGATATTTTCCTATTTTTCTTCCAAAACCTTTACAATTTAGCTTTCATGTTTAGGTCTATAATCTATCTCAAAGTCGTCATCTGTATGTATGGTGTGAGATAAGAGTAGAGATTCATTCTTTGTGAATATTTATTTCTTTCCATGCCATTTGTCAAAAAGACTCTCCTTTCCCCCACTGGATTGCTTTGGTGCCTTTATAAGAAGTCAGAAGGCTGTATAAGGGTAGCAGTCTTCAGACATTCTGTTTGTTTTATTTATCGATTTGTTGATCCTTATGCTAGTACAACACTATCTTGACTAGTGTAGCTTTAGGTTAAGTCTTGAAGTCAGGTAATGGAAGTCCTCTTTATTCTATTTCAAGATTACTTTGGCTATTCTAGGTCCTTTGATTTTCAACAAATTTTAAAGTCATCTTGTCAATTTCTACAAAAAGTCTGTTGGGATCCTGATTGGGATTTATTCTATCTTCCAATTTGTGTTTGATATTTTAACAATATTGAGCTTTACAGTCCTTGAACATGGTATATCTCTCCAATTTTTCAGGTCTTTAATTTATCCCAGTAATGTTTTCTAGTTTTCAGTGTAGAGGGTTAGCATGTCATTTGTTAAATTAATTCCTAAGTATATTATGGTTTTGTTTTTCATTTTTGAGATAGGGTCTTGCTCTGTCACTCAGGCTGGAGTGCAGTGGTGTGATCACAGCTCACTGAAGCCTCAACTTCCTGGGTTGAAGTGATCCTCCCACCTCAGCCTCTCCAGTAGCTGGGATTACAACAGTGAGCCACCACTCCCACTAATGTTTGTTTTTATTGTTGTTGTTGTTGTTGTTGAGACAAGGTTTCACCATGTTGCCCAGGCTAGTCTCGAATTCCTGGGCTCAAGTGATACTCCCAATTCCCACCTTGGCCTCCCAAAATGCTGGGATTACAGGCATGAGCCACAGTGCCCGGCCATATTATATTTTTTGATGAATTATAAATGAAGTTGTTACCTAATTTCATTTTTCAATAGATGATTGCTATATTTTAAAAAAATCATTGATTTTTGTATATTAATTTTGCATTCTGCAACCTTATTAAACTCAATTAAATATTTCTATGGGTAGTTTTGTAGATTCCTTAGAATTTTCTATGAATTGGTTAGATCATCTGCAAATTAAAGCAGTTTTCCTTGTTTCCTTCTGATCTTTAGGCCTTTTCTTTGTTTTTCATTCTTTATTGCAAGGAATAGGACCTTCAATAAGATGTTGAATGGAGGTAGTGATAATGGGCATTTTCGACTTGTTCATTCAATATTTTACTATTAAATGTGATCTTGGCAGTGTTTTTTCATAGAAGACATATTGAGAAAATTCTCATACTTCTAGCTTGTTGAGAATTTTTTATCATGAATGTTTACTTGTTTTTGAATAGATGATTTTTTTTTTTTTTTTTTTTTTAGACGGAGTCTCGCTCTGTCGCCCAGGCTGGAGGGCAGTGGCGCGATCTTGGCTCACTGCAACATCCGCCTCCCGGGTTCACGCCATTCTCCTGCTTGAGCCTCCTGAGTATCTGGGACTACAGGCGCCCGCCACCACGCCAGGCTAATTTTTTGTATTTTTAGTAGAGACGGGGTTTCACGGTGTTAGCCAGGATGGTCTCGATCTCCTGACCTCATGATCCACCTGCCTCGGCCTCCCAAAGTGCTGGGATTACAGGCTTGAGCCACCGCGCCCGGCCGAATAGATGATTTTTTAGAGCAATTTCAGGTTCACAGCAATATTGGGCAGAAAGTACAGAGATTTCCCATATACCTCCTGCCTGCCCCCCCACGTGCATAAGTTCACCATTATCAACATCCCCTAAAAGAGTGGTACATATATTACAATGAAATGCAACATTGACACATGATTATTACCTAAAATCTATAATTTACATTAGGGTTCATTGTTGGTATTACACAGTCTATTGGTTTGCACAAACTTATAAGGGCACGCACCATTACAGTATCATGCAGAATAGTTTCACTGCCCTAAAAATCCTCTGTGTTCCACCTATTCTTCCCTTCCTCTCTCCTAACCCCGGGCAACCACTGATCTTTTTAGTCTCCATAGGGTGTTTATTTTTATTACATCATTTTTACACATCTATTGAAATGATCACAAGGTCTTTTTCTCCTTACTCTGTTAATACAGTGTGTTACATTGATTATATTTTGAATGGAATAAACCCTATTTGATCATAATGGATGATCTTTTTTATATATTGCTGAATTTGATCCACAAGTATTTTGTTAACTTTTTTATTTATTTATTTATTTTAATTTTATTTATTTATTTATTTTTTTGAGACGGAGTTTCACTCTTGTTGCCCACGCTGGAGTGCAATGGCACAATCTCAGCTCACCCCAACCTCCGCCTCCCGGGTTCAAGCGATTCTCCTGCCTCAACCTCCCGAGTAGCTGGGATTACAGGCATACGCCACCATGCCTGGCTAACTTTGTATTTTTAGTAGAGACGGGTTTTTTTTTTTTTTTTTTTTTTTTTTGAGACGGAGTCTCGCTCTGTCGCCCAGGCTGGAGTGCAGTGGCGCGATCTCGGCTCACTGCAAGCTCCGCCTCCCGGGTTCACGCCATTCTCCTGCCTCAGCCTCCCGAGTAGCTGGGACTACAGGCGCCCGCTACCACGCCCGGCTAATTTTTTGTATTTTTAGTAGAGACGGGGTTTCACCGTGTTAGCCAGGATGGTCTCGATCTCCTGACCTCGTGATCCGCCCGCCTCGGCCTCCCAAAGTGCTGGGATTACAGGCGTGAGCCACTCCGCCCAGCCTTGTTAACTTTTATGTTTCATCTGCCTTCAAAAGGGATATTGGTGTGGTGTTTATCTCTTTCTCTGTAGTGTTCTTTTCTCAGGATTTTGTACTGGGGTATCACAAAGCTCATAAAACAAACGGTCGCTTCTCTTTTATTTTCTGAATTAGTTCATATAAAGATAGTGTTAAATATTTCTTAAATATTTGATAGAGTTCCCTATTAAATCTGTTTTTTTTTGTGTGTGTGTGAGGTTAATTAACTCCATTTTAATAATAGGTATAGAGCTATTCGGTTTTTCTGTTTATTTTTGTGAAACTTTTTGGTATATCTTTCAAAGAGTGTTCACTTTATCTAAGTTGACAATTTGTTGGCATAACACTCTTATTATCTTTTTAATATCTGTGGAATCTGGGCCGTGCACAGTGGCTCACACCTGTATTCCCAGCACTTTGAGAGGCTGCAGTGAGAGGATCTACTGGGCCCAGGAGTTTGAGACTAGCCCGGGCAAGAAAGCGAGACGCCCTTGGCACGGTGGCTCACGCCTGTAATCCCAGCACTTTGGGAGGCCGAGGCGGGCAGATCACGAGGTCAGGAGATCAAGACCATCCTGGCTAACACCATCCTGGCTAACACGGTGAAACCCTGTCTCTACTAAAAATACAAAAAATTAGCCAGGCATGGTGGCGGGCACCTGTAGTCCCAGCTACTTGGGAGGCTGAGAAGGGAGAATCGCTTGAATCTGGGAGGCGGAGCTTGCAGTGAGCCGAGATTGTGCCACTGCACTCTAGCCTGGGAGACAGAGCAAGACTGTGTCTCAAAAAAAAAAAAAAAAAAAAAAAAAAAGGGAGATGCCATGTCTTCAAAAGTAAAACAATTAGGCCGGGTGTGGTGGGTCACGCTTCTAATCCCAGCACACTGGGAGGCTGAGGTGGGCGTGTCATCTGAGGTTAGGAGTTTGAGACCAACCTGGCCAACATAGTGAAACTCCGTCTTTACTAAAAACACAAACATTAGCTGGGCATGGTGGCGGGTACATGTAATCCCAGCTACTTGGGAGGCTGAGGCAGGAGAATCACTTGAGCCTGGGAAGCGGAGGTTGTAGTGAGCTGAGATCACATCACTGCACTCCAGCCTGGGCAACATAGGGAGATTCTCGGAAAAAAACAAAAAACAAACAAACAAAAAAACACACAGAGATTGTTGCCCCTGTAGTCCCAGCAACTCAGGAGGCTGAGGCAGGAGGATTGTTCGAGCCCCAGAGTTCATGGCTACAGTGAGCTATAAGTACACCATAACACTTTAGCCTGGGCAACAGAGGGAGACCTAGTCTCTTAAAAAAAGTTCTGTAGAATCTGTGGTGACAACCCCACTTTTCAGCTAATATTATTCATTTCTGTTCCTTCTTTTTCCTTGACAAATTTTTTTTTTTTTTTTTTTTTTTTTTTTAAGAATCATGGTCTCTCTTTTGTCACTCAGGATGGAGTGCAGTGGCATGAACATGGCTCACTGCAGCTTCGACCTCCTGGATTCGAGCAATTCTCCCACCTCAGCCTCCCAATGACCTAGGACTACGGGTGTGAGTCACTGTGCGGGAGCTCCTTGACCAATTTAACTTGAGGATTATAAGTTTTGTTGATCTTTTCAAAGACTAACTTTTGGTTTTCTTAATTTTCTCATTGTTTGTCTCTTTTCTGTCCCATTGGTTTCTTCCCTTTTCTTGCTGTTATTCATTTTAGGTTTTCTTTGCTATTGTTTTCGTATCTCCTTAAGGTGGAACCTTAGGTTATTCATTCTAGATTTGTTTCTTTTTAAATTTTCATATAACCATTTGAAGCTAAAAAATGTTCCTCTAAGTACTGCTTTAGCTGTACCCCTCAATTTTAATGTTTTATTTTTTATTATTCACCTAGATATGTTTTCTAGTGATTTCTTCTTTTACCCATGGCTTTTATAAATGGGTTGTTCAATTTCTCAATATTTGGAGGTTTCTTAGGTATCTATTATTCATTTCTAATTTAGTTTCAATGTGGTTAGACAACAGACTCTGTATGATTTCAGTTTTTAAAATTTGAGACATCTTTCATGGTCCAGAGTATGGTTTACCCTTAAGACACATACTATATGTCCCTGAAAAAAATACATATTCTGCAATTGCTAGGTGGGTGGTTAATAGGTTGTTCAGGTTATCTTTCTCATTACTGATTTTATTTAGCTTTTCTATCAGGTAATGAAAAACAGTTCTGCCAGGTGTGGTGGCTCACTCCTGTAATCCCAGCACTTTGGGAGGCTGAGGTGGGTAGATCATGAGGTCAGGAGTTCGAGACCAGCCTGGCCAACATGGTGAAACCCTGTCTCTACTAAAAATACAAAAATTAGCCAGGTTTGATGGTGCATGCCTCTAATCCCAGCTACTCGGGAGGCTGAGGGAGGAGAATCGCTTGAACCTGGGAGGCAGAAGTTGCAGTGAGCTGAGCTCACACCATTGCACTCCAGCCTGGGCAACAGAGCAAGACTCCGTCTCAAAAAAAAAAAAAAAAAGGAAAAGAAAAAGAAAAAGAAAAGAAAAAAGGTCTTAAAATCTCCAGGTATGATTGTGAAATTATCTATTTCTCCATTTAATTCTATCAATTTGCCTTTCATGTATTTTGAAGTGGGCATACAATCCAGGTCAAATATCCACCATTTTTTGATGGCCTAGGTTCTATTTTTATTTCAACTGCATTAGCAACTCCATTTTTCAATTCATTTGAACTGTAACAATTTTATTGCTAAGTAAATCATGGTATTCAAATTATTGTCATAGAAAATACTATTCTACAAAGATGGAGTTATTGTCATAATTAACACTTTGGGATACCTCACATGTTTGAAAGTTACTTGATGGTGTGGAAGAGGCCATTTACAGATGTAGACTTATGTATAATTTATGAAAGCATAGGTTGTAAGAAAATGGAATTTTTGATATGGATAATTGCCTATGTTCATAAACAGTGGCAAGTCTTAATTGAATTAGTTGAGTAGCATTAGCATTAACCCTCTTCCATTCATAGCTGGGCTGGCTATGGTACAAAAATCATGTCATTCTTAGATAATATACTCAAACGTCAATTAAAGATGTAAATTTATTAATTTGGAAATATGCCACTTCATCCATCATACCTAGTAAGAAACAACAGGAAAATTTGTCGTAAATAATGGATTAGATAAAAGTAAAAATAATTGAAACTTTATTATCTTTGGAAAAAGCACCACTGATATTATAAGGAGAATAAACTTATTTATATATTAATTCATTCCCTTGTTATTTCAGCAATATCTGAGTGCCTCGTATCTGTCAGGCACTGTGGACAAAATAGTTAACAAAAAGACATTGTCCCTACTTTCATGTGGCTTAGATAGTGAAAGAGACAAACATTAATCTAGTAATTACATCAAGTACCACAAAAGAGATACTCATGGTGCTGGGGGGTGTGAGTGAGGGTTGTGATAAGGTGGGTAGTTAGAAAAGACCTTTCAAGGAGTTGGAAGTGAGCATGCACTAAAAGATGAGTAGTAGTTGCCTACTCTAGGTTAAAGGAATGGGGATTAGAAGGATAGGTAGAGAGAAGAGCAGGTGCAAAAAATGCTTAGAAGGAAGGCAGGTATAGTTAGACCTAAGAGAAAGGAAGTAAACATGGTATAAGATGACGTTGGAGAAGCAGATAGAGGTCAGACCATGCAGGCCTAGTAGGATTGAAGTGTTTTAAGGAGGTGATGACATAATCTGTTTAGACTTGCATAATGTTACTCTGAATGCAGGCTAGAGAATGGATCAGATGAAGGCAGTATTAATTATTGGACATCAGTTACAATGCTATTCTTGGAACAAATTTTGAGACTACTATCTGTCAGGAATGTGCTGTGTTGCTAAGTGCTGGAGATATGGAGATACATTGGTGAATAAGACCAAAAAGGCTCTTACAGAACTGAAAGCATCTTAATTATTTCAAAGGCAAAACATATATGTATTATGAATAAAGATATCGGTACTTTTATATGTACAATATAAAATATAAATATCTATAGCAAGAAGACTAGACTAATGGAAATAAAACTTTTGATCTTGGTTTTGTCAATAACTAGTTACCTGACCTCGGCAAAGGAGTGTAACCTCTATGTTGCTGGCCTTGGTAAAACTCATCTGTTAAATGAAGAATGAGGCTAAGGAGCTGAGATTTTTTTCCCTCCCGTATCTGAAATTTTACTAATTCAATTACATAATTTGAAATAATAGCTTTGTCATATCTGGAAACCTCTTGCTCCTTCATAGAAAGCTAATTCTATTCTTCCAAATGAAACTTTAAGTGCTAAATTTGTAGAGTCTTGCAAGTATGTGTCAAGTGATTTATAGCCTAATGGTTCAGATGAATAAAGCAACAATTCCTATACTAATTTACGGACTATTGAAGTGTGTAGAATAGCTTCTTCTGGCTCACTGTGATTATACTTTCTAAAGCTTATTTTATAGGCACAGATAACAGGTTAGAAGATGCCATATTACAACCAACTTGGAAATATGACATTTTAATTGGAAAATGTTAATAATTCCAAAAAAGGACAGAACTCCATGATCATTCACTAAAACTTTTGAAATAATAATCTTTAATAATAAATTCTTGGGGGGGACTGAATCTTTGTAGTGGTACCTAGTGTGGCATTATGTACAGCTATGTACTTAATGAATGTGTTGCAGGGTAGGAATGGCAATATACAAGGAGAGAAACAATTACATGAGGTCTAGGTGACATTACGATGTTAATATTTAGGTAAAGTAAAACATTTAATCCTATGATGAAAGATTTAAATTTACCATAAAACAGTGTTACTGCTTGATTATATAACATTTCATATTTGGAAGTAAAATCTATAAATTATATTTTGTTGTAACTTTAGGTAATAAAAACAAAGCCCACCACAATAATTGTTGCCTAGATCATCTTGGTAAGAAAATTAATAATTTTTCAAATATACCAGTTCTCATTAGTAGACTAGAACAAACTATAAGGGTGTGAGAAAGCTTTACTCTGATTTGATGAATGATTGTACTGGCAGTGTTCACATTTGTGAACGAGGTTGGTGGGGGGGAGTAGATACACCATAACAAATACTAACTTTCCTAAACTGGCCATTCTCTGCTTCTCTGAGGGAGTATAGATGAAAAAAAGAAAGATGGATATGGAGGGGAGAGGGGAGAGAGGAAAGGAAATATGAATACAGAGGAAAGAGTAAACTGGAAGAGGAACAAGGGTGAGATGGGGATCCCGAAGGATGGTCCAGAGTGTTAGTGAATCCGGTTGGAGATGCAGATGGGGAAGCTGCTCCTCCACAAGAAGTTCCATCCTCCACATCAAAAATTATTGTATTGCATGGGGGAAAATACATCATATTCTTCAATATACTAAGTACTTCAATTCCTTTACTATTTTGTGGCTAAAACATGTTCATTCAGCATCTTAGGTATTGTAGATTACATATTTTTTTATAGTTGAGATATATATATATATGTATATATATATATATATATATTTTTTTTGAGACAGAGTCTCGCTTTGTCACCCAGGCTGGAGTGCAGTGGCGCGATCTCAGCTCACTGCAAGCTCCGCCTCCCAGGTTCACGCCATTCTCCTGCCTCAGCCTCCCGAGTAGCTGGGACTACAGGCGCGTGCCACCATGCCCGACTATTTTTTTTTTTTGTATTTTTAGTAGAGACGGGGTTTCACTGTGTTAGCCATGATGGTCTCGATCTCCTGATCTCGTGACCCGCCCGCCTCGGCCTCCCAAAGTGCTGGGATTACAGGCGTGAGCCACCGCGCCCAGCCTATAGTTGATATATATGTATTTATAATGTGATCACAATGACAAGTTCATTGTATATATCCTATACAAGCTTTAAACAGGTTTTGTCCCGTTGACATATGAATTCAATAATTATAATACTTCCAGCGAAGGGACCTGGAGGAGAGGCTAACATTTAACATAAGGAATCTTGGCTAGGATCTGTGTTGGAAGGGCACAGAAGACTGGCCAAGGGCCACAGCAAGCAGTCCACATCTTCCAGACAGGAGGAGACAGCTTAGGTGCAGCAAGGTTTCCCTGACAAACAAGAGGGTTTAGTAAGAATGTCTGAATCAAAAAAAAAAAAAAAAAAAAGAGGACTATTAGATTTGGTATAGAAGAAGGAACTGTGCCTCCTGGTGAGAAAAGAATTCAATGGTGGGTCAGGTGCGGTGGCTCATGCCTCTTATCCCAGCACTTTGGGAGGCCGAGGCGGGCGGATCACAAGGTCAGCTGTTTGAAATCACCCTTGCCAACATGGTGAAATCCCGTCTCTACTAAAAATACAAAAAAAAAAAAAAAAAAAAAAATTAGCTGGGCGTGGTGGCAGGTGCCTGTAGTCCCAGCTACTCAGGAGGCTGAGGCAGGAGAATCGCTTGAACCTGGGAGGCAGAGGTTGCAGTGAGCCGAGATCTTGCCACTGCATTTCAGCCTGGGTGACAGAGTGAGACTCCATCTCAAAAAAAAAAAAAGAATTTGATGGTGGTCTTTCCTGTGGCAGCCTTGGTGTTGTGGGGGCAGGTGTTGTGGATAGGGTAGGGTGGGGAGAGAGGAACAGCAGCACAGGTGCCATTGCTCCTGCGGTCAGGGGTGGGAAGGCAGCATAGAGAGCCACCATTTCCATCAGGCAATTACAGGTCAGCTGAGATAACATAGTAGTAAGAGTAGCAGCAACCATAATAGTAGCAGAAATAATGGTACTATTAACAGCTAACATCTATTGAATATTTACTATGTGCTAAAATGTTTCAATTATCTATATTAATTCCTTCAATTCTCATAACAATACTTTGAGATAAGTACTATCATATCCTTTTACAGAAGACCAAACTGAGGTATAGGGATGTAAAATAACTTGCTTAAGGTCACATGGCTAGGAAATGGAAAAGCCGGGTCGAAACCCAGGGAGTCGGGTTCCCTATTCTAAAGCTATAGAGCCTCTCAAGCAGACAGGGGAAGCCTATTGTAGAGAAGTGTTCGGGGACCCCAAGGTGTGAAATCTCTGCAAAGTGATGGTGGCCCAAGGAGAAGAGGCCCACTTGGGAATGACAGCGTGTGAGTCAAAGTGTCTGTACCTGGTAGTTGCACTGCAGAAGGGGCTGGCTAAGACAAAAAACCAGGGAAACGAAGAAGTATTGGGGAGCTGTTCAGGCTAAGAGACTAGGAGTGGGAAGCTCTTCAGTTCATGTCTGCACAGAGAGAAGTAAACAGTGTTGGTAGCTACTTTGAGGCAATTTGCATAAGCAATCTTGGAAAACTGACTTGGAAGAAATCAGGTTTCAGCAATTAAGCTATGGGGATTTAAGAGTGAAACATTAGCTCACGTTATTTTAAGCCACATTCCTTGAATATTACCCCCTGTTATACTTTGGATATTTGACACGCCAAACCTCATGTTGAATTGATCTCCAGTGTTAGAGGTGGCACTAATGGGAGGTGTTTGAGTTATGGAGGAGATCTCCCATGAATGGCTTGGTGCTGTTCTGGGAGTAATGAATGAGTTCTAGCTCTGTTAGTTCCTGCAAGAATTGGTTGTTTATAAGAGTCCAAGCCAGGTGTGGTGGCTCATGCCTGTAGTCCCAGCTGCTCAGGACTCTGAGGCAGGTGAGCCCGGAGTTTGAGGTTACAGTGAGCTATGATTAGCATTCCAGTCTGAACAACAGAGTGAGACCTTGTTTCTAAAAATGAGAGTATGGCCTCTGGCACCTCCATCCTCTCACTCTTGCCTCCTCTGTCACCATGTGATGCCTCTGCACAAAACAGCTCCCCTTCCATTTCCACCATGCGTGGAGGCTTCCAAAGGCCTCACCAGAAGCAGAGGCTGGCACTGTGTACAGCCTGCAGAACCATGAGCCATGAGGCCAGGAATGGTGGCTTACGCCTGTAATCCCAGCACCTTGGGAGGCTGAGGTGGGGAGATCACTTGAGGTCAGGAGTTCGAGACCAGCCTGGGCAACATGGTAAAACACTGTCTCTACTAAAAATATAAACATTAGCCAGGAGTGGTGGCATGTGCCTGTAATCTTAGCTACTAGGACGGCTGAGACAGGAGAATCACTTAAACCCGGCAAATGGAGGTTGCAGTGAGTCAAGATCACACCACTGCACTCCAGCCTGGATGACAGAGTGAGACTCCATCTTAAAAAAAAAAATTGTTTTAGAGTGGGATCTCACTCTGTCACCTAGGCTGGAGTGCAGTGGTGCAATCATGGCTCACTGCAGCCTTGAACTCCTGGGCTCAAGTGATCCTCCCACTTCAGCCTCCTGAGTAGCTGAGATTACAGGCACATGCCAGTATGGCCAGCTAGGTATCCCTTTATAGCAATGAAATGGGCTAAGATACCCCATAATCATGGGGAAAGAGTTATCACATATTTTTAGGAAACATAGGGTTAGCCAGGTGTGATGGCTTATGCCTTGTAATTCCAGTGACTCAGGAGGCTGAGGTGGGAGGATTGCTTGAGCCCAGAAGTTCGAGACTAGTGTGGGCCAAACAGCGAGACACCATCTCTTGAAATTAAAAAAAAAAAAAAATTAGGTGGGTATGGTGGCACACACCTATAGTCCCAGCTACTCGGGAGGTTCAAGTGGGAGGATTGCTTAAGCCCAGGAGTTCCCAAGAGTTTGAGACTGCAGTGAGCTATAATGGTGCCACTGCCCTCTAGCTTGAGTGACAGAGCAAACTCCATCTCACCTCAAAAAAAAAAAAAAAAAAAGAGCAAGAGAAACACATAGGGTTAGAAAGCATGTTCTAATATTTAGTATGCAGATAATTTATTCCAATTTATACACAAAACCGTAACCAAGTTAATAAGTAGAAATATGCAGTAATAAGTCAACATGAACTTACTGACCTATTTTGATATCATGAACAATTGATAAAGCAACAGTAACAAGTAGAGAAGGAGTATTCATGGCTGCTAATTTACCGATGGAAAAAAAAGATGCAGAAACCCCAGCCAGCCTCTGACATGAAATAAGATATGGACAGAAATCAAACTACTAAAAAATCTGGTTATTTTCCCTTCTTTCCTCTTTTCCATAATTTTTTTTTTTTTGAGATGGGGTCGTGCTCTGCTGCCCAGGCTAGAGTGTAGTGGCTTGATCTCAGCTCACTGCAACCTCTGCCTCCTGGGCTCAAGAGACCTTCCCACCCCATCCCCCCACTCTGAGCAGCTGGGACCACAGAAGTGCATCACTATGCCCAGCTAATTTTTTGTAGTTTTGGTAGTGATGGGGTTTCTCCATGTTGCCACAGGCTGGTCTCAAACTCCTGAGCTCAAATGATCCGCCCACCTCAGCCCCCAAAGTACTGGGATTACAGGGGTGAGCCACCGTGCCCAGCCTCCATAGATATTTTTTGAGAGCACAAGTGCCAGGGTACAAAGATGGAAAGGATATGGTTCTTTTCCCTATTCTTGAGTAGCTCATATTTTAATAGAGGAGACAGCCATGTTAACCAATATTTCCAATACAAGGTGACAGGAGCCATACTGAGGTATAAACAGTATTAAGCTCATACAAATCAGAAGAAGCAGTTTACTCTCCATGGGATAGTCAAAGAAGGCTTCATTGAGGTGATGCTTGAGTGGGGTCCTGAATGAATAGGAATTTTCATGCAGACAGAGGGAGGCAGGGCAGGTGGAAAAGAATATTCAAAGGTAGGGATTTAGGAAATCGCCTGGAATGTTTGTGGACTGACGAAAAGTTCAGTATGGCTGAACACAGGGTGCGTATGTGGTAGGGATGAGGGTGATAGAAAATTAGGTTACAGTCATCTTGGGAAGTCCATCTTATACTGGACTTTATTCTGTGAGCAGTGAAGAAACCATGTCTTTTGGTTTAGTTTTGTTTTTAAGGAGGGGGATACATAGTCATATTTAGTTTTCTAAATGAAGATAATTCTGTGACTGATGACTGGAAGTAGAGAGAGTGATTAGTTCCCAAAAGACCAACTAGAAGGCTGTCCTTGTCATAGTTTGGATGAGAGATAATGAAGGCCTAAACTCGGGCAGTGGACTGAAGGGGGAAGATTCAGATTCTAGAAATATTTTTCAGGTCAAATTGGGAGAATGGTGTTGGGGTTGGTGGTGCAGGGAGACCAAGAGGAGGAAGGGAACAGGAAGATGACTTTGAGAGATCCAACTTGGGAGTCAGAGTGAATGGGGATTCTACTAATCAGGAGAGAAATACAAGAGGCAGAGGAGATAAAGGATGGAGAGCTGGGGAAAAGAAGAATTCACTTTAGCACATGAAGAGTTTGATAGGATTGTGGGTCACAGGAGCAGAAAAAATTGGTAAACAACTGGCATTATAGAGTGGGTTTCAACAAGGTCTGGCAAGAAAGAGAGACGTGGAAGCATATGCATATAACTTAAATCCCTGGGAATGAATGAGTTCACCTAGGGAAAGGGGGTTGCCTGAGAATAATACTTTGGGGAACAATAATATCTAAGCAAAGGAAACCGAGAAGGAAACATCAGAGAGGCAGGAAGAGAAGTAAGACAGTGAAAGTGGTGGTCTTTCAGCAGCTGAATTAATGACCATGGGTTAGAAAGGGGTGCTATCATTAGGGGGAACTGAAGGCTAAATATCCTTGATTCATGTGTGAAAGGGATTAAGAGATGGGAAGAAAATTTCGTAATCAGAATGGAATGTTTGAAGTTAACATTTGAGAGCTAAAGCAATTGAGTGTAAAACATTTAGGATATTGTCCATCAAAATAAGTGTTGAATTGAGGTTTTGGGATTCAAAAATTCAAGGAACTGTGAATCTAATTGGCTGGTTCATCAAAGGAAGAAAGACAGAGAACTAGTCTTCTGAATTTGGAAACTGTTCTATTTATTTAATGATACTGCTATTTATCAGAAATTTATATGGATGTAGTAATTTTTACATATTTTGATTCCACTCTCATCCTCTATATTTAATCAAAGTCCCAGTAATTTTTCCTATTCCTTATCTCTCCAACCCATCTTTTCTATCTTAGTTCAGACTATCATTTCCTATGAGTTTGAATTCAACCATATTCTCACTGGTCTTTCTTCTATTTCATTCTTCTATTTCAAGTGAAGTTGTGTTGTGTTCCCAGATTGCTACTTTTTTTTTTTTTTTTTTTTGAGACGGAGTCTCGCTCTGTTGCCCAGGCTGGAGTGCAGTCGCGTGATCTCGGCTCACTGCAAGCTCCGCCTCCTGGGTTGAAGTGATTCTCCTGCCTCAGCCTCTGGAGTAGCTGGGCCTACAGGTGCGCACCACCACGCCCGGCTAACTTTTGTAGTTTTCTTAGAGACGGGGTTTCACCATATTGGCCAGGGTGGTCTCGAACTCCTGACCTCAGGTGATCCGCCCGTCTTGGGCTCCCAAAGTGCTGGGATTACAGATGTCAGCCACTGTGTCTGGTCCTGATCGCTACTTTTAAAAAATAACACAGACCATATAATTTCCTTGCTTCAAGGTTTTTAATTGATCTTCAGTGCTTTCAGCATAAAGTTTAAACTCTGTCATGACAGTGGAGCTCTTCCCAAGCTCCTTCTAACATGGCATTTATTTTACTTTTTATTTTTTATTTTTTGAGATGAAGTCTCGCTCTGTCGCCCAAGCTGGAGTGCAGTGGCGCAATCTCTGCTCACTGCAAGCTCCGCCTCCCGGGTTCACGCCATTCTCCTGCCTCGGCCTCCCGAGTAGCTGGGACTACAGGCGCGTGCCACCACGCCCGGCTAATTTTTTTGTATTTTTAGTAGAGACAGGATTTCACCATGTTAGCCAGGATGGTCTCGATCTCCTGACCTCGTGATCCGCCCGCCTGGGCCTTCCAAAGGCATGTAATCTCATGCCTGGGATTACAGGCATGAGCCACTGCACCTGGCCAGCATTTATTTTTTTTTGAGATGGGGGCTGGATGGTGGGGGGGAGGGGCGGTCTTGCTCTATCGCCCAGGATGGAGTGCAGTCACTACCTAGGCTGGTCTTGAACTCCCGGCTTCAAGGGATCCTCCTGCCTTAGTCTCCCAAAGTGCTGGAATTATAGGCATGAGCCCCCACACCTAGCCTAACCTAGCGTATGTCAGTTGTCTTCCACTGTCCTCTTCATGTATATTATGATCCAGCCACACCAAACTGTTTACTGTCTCCTATATATATTGAGCTTTTATGAGAGCCTAAAGTGCACGTAAACAAGCTAATATTAAGAATTTATGTTTTTAAAAAAGTTCAAGGTTAATATGCCATTCAGTTCAATTGCCTATGCCGTATATAGTATTTAAAAATTTTTCATAATGCTGATCTTGAAACACTATAGCACTTGAAACAGCTTCTGACTCAGTAAGACTAAGTTACTTGTATCATTGTTTTGTAGGTATTTGAATTCTGTGAAAACCTATGCATGCAATAAATTTTTCACCGCAAATACAGCTATCTGCTAGAAGTGCCATGAGAACAAGGCCCATATTTGTCTTGTCACACCTATATTCTCAGTGCTAGCATAGTACCTAATGGGTGCTTAATAGTTATTAAATGAATAAACTATGATTAGGTTAATCAGGACATCCAGTCTCTCAAACATTATGAATGAACTTGGATCTAGCTCATTCACTCTCGAAATATTTATTTGGTACCTACATGTGAAGATTCCTGTGTTTATTAGAGAGCAATGTGTAACATTTGCCTTTGCAGTACTAGCTTTTTGAAAATACCTGAAGATGAGGGATCATGTTTTACTTTACCAGACACCAGCCCTCTGCTAGGTGCAATTAAGTGGCATATGATCACCTATGCACACGATTATCTGAAATACTCCTCTCCACATTGCTTTCTTTGAGCCTGCAGACAGATCTATACTAGACTTTATTTACACTCATCTATTATTTCTGGGTTCTAATGCGGGCTAAAATATTTATTAGGAGACACTGGGTAAGTTACTTAAACCTTTCCTACAGTTTCATGGTATCATGGGACTATGATACCTACTTGTGGGTTGTTTTAAGGATTAAATAAGGTATAAAGTGCATAGTAAAGTATCAGTATGTTCATTCTCTTTCTTCTCTCCCTTATACTGTAATTATCTGTTTATCTGCTAATTTCCCTCACCAGATTGTGTGGTCCAGACAGGCAGTTTTCTATGCCTTATTCATCTTTATAACCCCAACAAGCACAATGGCTGTCTTAAAATTAGTAAATATTTGCTGAGTAAATGAAGACCTAAGAGAGTGAAAAAGGTTGTATTACCCGTTTATTTGTTAATCTAACTGCCACACATCCCTTAAAAGAAATCAAGTACAGCTTTTGTTAGGGAAGCTTAAAATTCATGGCAATGATACCATACACAGTTAATCATTAGCTTTGGAAAGTCTGTTGAGCAGAAAGCGGTGCACAAAGGAAGTAGGGCTGCTTCCCACAATAGCTTAATATGTTTTCAGTGATGAACGTTTTTGGAATGCTGGGCACACCCGACTTCCAAATACGCAAGCACATTCCAAATGGAAATTTCAATTACTGTTTTTCTTTTTTTCTGCCGTAACAGTTATCACAGCATTTTAATGAAGGTCAGACTTAAATACTGACAAGCAGGGAAACCAATAATTACCAGATTGCTTCATTCATTTTGTGGACAGCATTATAAACTTTTCAGGCATTCTAAGATTGCCTGACAAAATTAGAAAAAATTGTTAAGTCCCCACAACCTGCTTGAGATGCTCACAAGTGTTCCATCCCAAAGTACACGTTTGCCTCTTCTTATTGGTATTTAGGTTCTGGCATCTGATTCCCCTTTCTTCTTCTATTTATATTAGCCTTCAGGTGGGAACTATGGAAAACCCACCTGGTGGGGGTGTATTTTTCTTAAGAGATTGTGTTATATGGTATCATATTTAGAAAATAAAGAAATTATTTTCATAATAGCAACGCTAATCACAGGAAAAACTTGATACATTCTTGACTAGACTTTAGGGGAAAGTACAAGTTCTTAGTGGGCGGAGGGGGGCAAAGACGAAGCAATTTGGCTCCAAAAATTCTAGAATCTCGTGGCATATTTTTATCAAATTCAAGCTTATCTTTAAAAAAATCCGAGAATTTTTCTAATTTCTAAGAATTGATTCTAACCCGCGATACTCCCTAGATGGGAGCGCAGTGCTTTAAATAATAGCATTTAAATAAGCGGCTGCTGATTTGAAGTCCACCTGGGGAGTCCGAGTTCTAGGACCGGTCCTTGGCCCTGCCACACGCCAATACAACCATCAAAGTCAAAATCCCTTAACTCAAATTTAAATACATTCCTAAAGCAGAAAGCATCCCGATAGGAAAATCCTACAGCTCACAGCAAGCAGCAGGGAAACATTTATCTCTGGCGGCACTGATTTAAGCTTAAAAGATTTGGTATCGTTTAAAAAAAAAAAAAAGCTGGGTGGGGCCGAGGAGAATCCACCCAAACTTTCCTCAGGAAGTAGGATGTTTACTGAGTAAATATGCGGTAGTCACAGAAACACCTGCTACTCCTTTAAGACCTCAGGAGCCACCACCGCCACCTCCTGGCCACATCCGGGCACTTCTCTGCAAACTCCTGGCGTCCCGACGCCCGAGTCGTTGGGCTTATTTGAAACACACGCACAACCAATCAAGCGGCGCCTGCCGGGACTTGGAGAGCGTCGACCAATCACCGCCCCTCTGGAGACTCCTGCCTATGGGAAAGAGGTTGACATCACGCGCCAATCGGCATGGCTCTTAGAGAGAGCAGCTTAGTTTTTGAATCGGTTGTGGCGGCCGCCGGCGAGGAATGGCGGTATTTGTGAGAGGAGTCGGCGTTTGAAGAGGTGGAACTCCTAGGGCTTTTTTGAGAGTGGTAAGGACTCTGTGTGAGTGAGAGAGGTGCAAGTGGGCGAGCGGCTCCAGAGCCAAGGGCTCTTTTGCCTGCGGTCGACGTCCCCGCCCCTAGTGACCGCGAATTCCGGAGCGCCCCAGCTCAGGCTTCCCGGATCCGGGAACTCCCTCGCCGCACCCCACCCCCAGCAGCCGGGCCCTGACGCGGAGTGGGAGACCGAAGCCCCCAGTATTGCTGGGCATCTTCGCCCTCACCTGTTGGCTCTTTTGGACAGAAGAGTGTGGGTGAAGGGAGGGAGTTGGGAAAGGGATTTTGGCAAGCCGCGCAGCCCTGTGGCTTTGGGGGCCGGCACTTGCAGCCTTTGGGGGCTTATCTCAGAGTGCGCCGTGGTTTTATTCTAGGATTCATCCTGGCTTCTTTGCGGGAAGTTTAATTTTTCGTTTTTGCAAGATAAATCCAGGCCATCCGCCCCTCGTCCTCCCCAGCCACCCGGCACAGATGTGTCCGGCTTAGTGGTTAAAGGCGCAGCCTCTGGATTTAGCCGGGCTTTGAATACCTCTTTTACCCCTTACTAACAGTTTGACTTAGGGGAAGTTGCTTAACCTCTCTGTTCCTACGTTTCTTCATCCATACATTGAAAATAATAATAGTACCTGCCTCTTAGGATTACTGCAGAGATTAAAAGGTTTAGGACAATGTCTGCCACGTATTAAGCGTTAAGTAAATGTCAGTTGTTAATAGTAATGTTATTGTTAATAACACCACCATTATATCTTGGATTGCATTTTAGTCCTTCACCTTGGAAGATGATTGCCTAAAAAGTATTTAAGTAAAAGGAAACTTGAATGTTTGTTTACATGGCAAATTTTATCTCTGGGATAAAAGGGGGCATGTGTTATAGTGTGTTTAGTTAGAAGCTCCTTGGGTCTGTTCTTGGGTGAGAAGCTGTGTAGGTTTATGAACACTGATCCTATTGTGCTTATTTTAAAGGCTTCTGGAATACAGTAATTTGAAAAAAAGTGATTAATATATTTCCATTTCTAATCTGACTGTTGGATGTTAGTTATGTCATCAAGTTACCGTAGTGCATCTCTTTTTCTCTATACATTTTGAAGCTGTTTTGGCAATAAATTGATCATATACAGTATCATCAGGGGCAATTTTAATTATTAATCATCTGCTTTCGATCATCTGCTATGCTCCCTCCCTTTTATTAATCATCTGCTTTTGATCATTTGCTGTGCTCCCTCTTAAAGAGGGAGGCATAGGAGAAAAATGTAAATATTTTCAAGAAGTTTTTTTTTTTTTTTTAGACGGAGTCTACCTCTTGTTACCTAGACTGGAGTGCAGTGGCACGATCTCGGCTCACTGCAACCTCTGCCTCCCGGGTTCAAGCGATTCTCCTGCCTCAGCCTCCTGAGTAGCTGGGATTACAGGTGCCTGCCACCAAGCCCAGCTAATTTTTGTATTTTTAGTAGAGACGGGGTTTCATTGTGTTGGCCAGGCTGGTCTCGAACTCCTGACCTCGTGATCCGCCCGCCTTGGCCTCCCAAAGTGCTAGGATTACAAGTGTGAGCCACCGCGTCCGGCCTTTCAAATGGTATTTTTGATTTTCCTCTTCCAGTCCTTAAAGCAGGTTAGCTCATCTCCTGACTTTTTTTTTTTTTTAAACATTCTTTTAAGGGGACTTTGAATGAAAGCCACTTTAATGCCTTTTCATTGGAAATGGTTGAGTGTAGAAGACTTAAAATAATAGGGCTGGATAGAATTTATCATTGATTCTAAATTAAGGCTGTTACAACTATTGGACCGCTCCTTTGGAGAGCCTTAGAATAATGATTGACATGGATGTATGGTAAAGCCATAAGAAATATCCATATTGTGAATATTACATGAGAATAGTTGTTTGTTGTTCACTTTAAGACATCTATTCAGTTTTCATCTTAACTAGATTTGAGTTGTAGTACTATGTGTGTTCCACCAATGTGGAAACTGAGGTTTAACTGACTATGTGCAGGGCTGAGACAGGAAGCTGAGTTGCCTGATTTTGAAGTGTCACATAACAGCATACAGTTTAAACTGTTACTTTGCTAAGACTCTGGAGGAAGGTATTTGTATATTTTATTAATCTGAAGAAGTAGGAAAGGGGAAAGTCTGACATGTAGCTCTCGTTAAAGGTGGGTCCTCTGTATATTTGCCTAATATTTAGAAATTTACTCTCAGTAAAGTTGACTTATTGAAAATTGATAAAAAAATCTCTAAAAAAATTTTTTTAGAGAGACAGGGTCTTGCTCTGTCACCTAGACTGACTGGAGTGCAGTGGTGGGATCACAGCTCACTACAACCTCAAACTCCTGGATTCAAGTGATTCGCCCACCTCAGCCTCTTGAGTAGCTACTATAGGCACCTGCCACCCACACCTGGCTAATTTTTAAATTTTTTGTAGAGATGGGGTCTTGCTATGTTGCCCAGTCTGGTGTTGAAGTCCTGCCCTCAAGTGATCCTCCTGCCTTGGCCTCCCAAAGTGCTGGGATTTCAGATGTGAGCCCCCAACCCACCCTGATGAAAACTTGTTAAACCTTTTATTCCCTGTCTAGCTTTTAAACTCTTCTTAAGTCCTGGAAAACTTAAAAAAGGATTTTCTTTCATAGTCCAGAGTTATATTGGCACTCACCCATGCATAATTGTTTTGTCAAACCTTTTAGGGGAGAGGTGTTTTTAAAGAATTATGAAAATACTGACAAGGGACCAGCCCAATTATACCGGAGAGGTTTAGAGACATCCACAGAGGATGAGTCAAGAGTGTTGGATTGGGGGTTGGAAGACAAGATAGGTGGAGAGTCGAGCACTAAATGCAAATAGATGTGATGTAAATTATGATTTGTGCCTGAAAAATAGCTGAGAAATTCATTGTTGCTGTTGCATAGATTGTATAGGGACTGGGGTAGTTACAGATGGTGAGGGTGAATAGTTAGGCGGGGACCAAATTGTGAACTTGGTGGTGAATTTGGACTTGGACATATAAGGAGTACTCATGGAAGTTGTTAAGCAGGGAAGTGATATGGTCACATTTGTATTTAGGTGCATATTCCTGAAAACCATGTGGAGAGTGATTTCTAAGGAAACTGATGGTAAAGTTGTGTGGAGCTGGTTTATTAGACCAAGTGACCATTGTGTCATTGAACGTATAGAGAAGGGGGGCCAGATTCCAGAGATACTTGAGGTGGGATTGATAGGAATTTTGGGGAGGGAAATGTGGGAGAGGAAAAAATTAGGATAGATCTCAGATTTTTGGCTAGGATTTTTGTGGGAGGTGTGTTATGGTGGTGTTATAATTGAATATAGGAAGAGAAATTGGTTGAGGGCAAAGGTGTGGAGAAGGGAGGTAGAATAATATTTATGACTACAGTTGAGTGTTTGTTGTATGTCTAGTAATGTTCTATGTGCTTTTGATACATTGTTATTTTTATTATATTCCTGTGAGTCAGGTATTAGTATGTTTATTTTACAGAAAAAGAAACTGAGGCTCAGAGAAGGTCAGTGACTTTCTTTGGTTCATTAAAAAAATGGGTAATAATACTTTTTATAAATTCTAGGTAAAAAGAGCCTCTAATACTTACTTTTGCCCAATGACCATGTTTATGTATTTTTATTCAAATTTTATTTTTTCAGCTGATTTAGAAGAATACAAATCATGGCTGAAAATAGTGTATTAACATCCACTACTGGGAGGACTAGCTTGGCAGACTCTTCCATTTTTGATTCTAAAGTTACTGAGATTTCCAAGGAAAACTTACTTATTGGATCTACTTCATATGTAGAAGGTAAACCTGTTACCTGCTTTAAAACAATCAATTTCTATTTTAATTCTAAACTTATTAGTGACTTTCTTAAGATTTAATTTTAATACCAACTGTAATGCTAGAGCACAGGTATTAAGTAAATATTTGTTTACAGAATCCTTTTACACTATGTCATTTTTCTGATTATTATTTGGGTTATTTGTATGCTTTGCAGCTTTGAAAAGGGAGGCATCTTAATTTGGATATTCCTTTTTCTGTATGTGAGGGCGGTCTAGCTACAGCATTATTAGCTAGAAGTTATACAGTCATGACTGGTTAGGTGAAAGCTACTTTTTCCTTTACCACTTTATAAATGGGTTTTTCCTAAAATTATATGCACTGTTGAGGAGGATGACTATGTAAGATAGCGCATTCTCTGGCTAGGAGGAATGCTGATGTTTGTATACCCTGCTACAATATGGTTTCTCTTTCTCTAAAGTGATATATAGCCAGATATTTTTGTAATAAGTTGGGAGTTGAGTCCTATTAAATTTAGAGAAAGTTATGATTCCCTCAAAGATGTAATACATACTAGATATAGCCAAAAGAGCGATAAGGACCTACTGATTGTGATGTTAATACATGATAAACATTGAAACATTTTACATTTTAACAGAAGAGATGCCTCAGATTGAAACAAGAGTGATATTGGTTCAAGAAGCTGGAAAACAAGAAGAACTTATAAAAGCCTTAAAGGTACGGAGTTTTAGGTTTTAGTTTTTTTTGTAATGCAATTTTTCTTCCATCAGTGTGTAAATAGTTTCATAGCTTTCTTAACCTCATACTTAAGTCTCTTTTCCACAGACTATTAAAATAATGGAAGTCCCTGTTATAAAGATAAAAGAAAGTTGTCCTGGAAAATCGGATGAAAAATTAATAAAAAGTGTTATTAATATGGTAGGTCAAAGTAACTCATTGCATGTGGCATGCTGCACTTCCCTTGATTGTATTATTCTACTTTCTGGTGATTGGAATTAGGCACAAGGTGTATTGTGTGCAATCTGAAGCTTAATGAATAGAAACTGTTTTATACTTTTTAACTCCTTAGCTTCTTTTTTCTCATTCATTTTATATTTAGTCTAAATTCTTGCTGTATTTCCAAAATTATAAATCACGGTAATTTATAATCAGGGAATTTGCCTCAGCATACGAAATAATCTAATTCTGGAATCCAGCTGTTTTAGTTTGCTAGGGCTGCCATAACAAAATACCACATAGTTAATTGCTTAAACAGTAGAAATTTCTTTTCTCACAGTTCTGGAGGCTAGAAGTCCAAGATTAAGGTGTGTGTAGGTTTAGTTTCTCTTGAGGCCTCTCGCCTTGGCTTGCAGTGTCCTTTTGCTGTCCTCACATGGCCTTTCTTCTGTGTGTCCTTGCATCCCTGGTGTTTCCTCTTATTGGGACACCAGGTTGGATTAGGGCCCACCCCTATTATCTCATTTAACCTTAATTACCTCTTTAAAGTCCTTATCGCCAAATATAGTCACACTCTAAGGACTTCATTCTTCATTCTAGGTTAGGGCTTCAACATGAATTTTGGGGGTACATAATTTAGCACATCACACTAGCCTTGCAAATAAAATTCAAATAATTTACTGACCCATTTTGAGTTAAAAAAAAATTTTTTTTTTAATTTAACACGAGTTACAAGAGTTATATAGGTACTTTAGTATCTTCATTATTTTTCGTGGATGTATAAAGTGTTTACTGTAAGTAACTTGCCTTTTTATATCCTACATTTGCCATGCTGCAACTGCTACATATTGCACATCTTTCTCATATATCTTACATATCTGCTAAAATGATTATGCTGATTTTCCTTTCTGTAAGTATTAAGTGCTATAGTATTATTTTCCTATTTTTCTGAAGATAGTTAATTTGTACAATAAGAACTTTATGTATGGTATCATTTTCTTGGTCAGTAGTGGATATCTTTCTAATGCATCTTGATATCAAAATGCATGTACTTAAAAACTTTAGCATTCTAATTTTATGGAACTTATGCATACTTGATGATTTATGACTAATAAGTAATAAGTCAGAATTATGCCTTTATAATACTGATCTTTAAAATTTAAGAACTTAATTTGAATGGAGATATGTATATGTAAAAATGTAAGTACGTAAAGAAATATGGTTGTTCATTAAGTGTAATGCTGATTATTGTGTGATAGAAACTTATTTTCTACAAATATAAACATGTTAAAGTTGATATTGAATTGATTGTTAAGCCTTATTTAGAGAGACAGATGGATTATTTGATATATAAATAATTTTTATTTCTGCTAACTATATGATGAAAAGGACATTAAAGTGGGCTTTGTAAAGATGGAGTCAGTGGAAGAATTTGAAGGTTTGGATTCTCCGGAATTTGAAAATGTATTTGTAGTCACGGACTTTCAGGATTCTGTCTTTAATGACCTCTACAAGGCTGATTGTAGAGTTATTGGACCACCAGTTGTATTAAATTGTTCACAAAAAGGAGAGGTAAGCATATACATTTATTATGACTTTTCAAGTTAAAATTTTTATTAATGAATTTTAATTAGCAAAAAATTTATTTGGAAAAATCTCATTGATTGCTGAGAGCAAAATATTTAGAATAGGAATAATAGTGGCTATTCTAATGTGGTCCTTTAATTCCTCCATTTTAAACTTAGTGGTGAAAAGCTAAGGCCTTTGAAAGTTAAATAATGATAACTGTACATATGCATATACACAGACAAATACATAGTCCTTTTTTTTTTTTTTTTTTTGAGACGGAGTCTTGCTCTGTGCCCAGGCTGGAGTGCAGTGGCACGATCTCAGCTCACTGCAAGCTCCGCCTCCTGGGTTCACGCCATTCTCCTGCCTCAGCCTCCCCAGTAGCTGGGACTACAGGTGCCCGCCACCATGCTCAGCTACTTTGTTGTATTTTTAGTAGAGATGGCGTTTCACCATGTTAGCCAGGATGGTCTTGATCTCCTGACCTCGTGATCCACCCGCTTCGGACTCTCAAAGTTCTGGGATTACAGGCGTGAGCCACTGCGCCTGGCGTATACACTATCAATACCACAATGTCTTAGAGAAGATTACTTGCTTAAACTTGGGTTCCAGAAATTCATACATATACATAAACTTTTATTTTTCTCAACACAGAACAGATACCACGGTTCCATTTTTATCAGTTACTGTATAACTTAAAATTCAAAAATTATTTTAGCTTTTTGTATTTATTTATTTATTTAATAAATAAATACACGATCTCTGCTCACTGCAACCTCTGCTTTCCCGGGTTCAAGCGATTCTACTGCCTCAGCCTCTCAAGTAGCTGGGACTGCAGGTGCATGCCACCACGCCTGGCTAAGTTTTTTCTATTTTTAGTAGAGACAGGATTTCACCATGTTGGCCAGGCTGGTCTCGAACTCTTGACCTCACGTTATCTTCCTGCCTCTGCCTCCCAAAGTGTTGAGATTACAGGCATGAGCCACCGTGCCCCGCTTCTTTTTGTTTTTAAACAGCATTTCAATATGAGTCGTATGAGAGTTAGTCCCTATTTGGTTTTGTTGCTGTCTTGGCATTCTTAAGCTTGCCTTGTTTACTTAAAATTGCTTAGGTCTTTGTACTTCTATTGTTACACATGTTAGTAATAATAAGCACATGTTAACCTTTAATTCTCTTACATTTTGATTTGGAGTGGTTGGTTTCAAAACCCAAATAAACTTTAAAAGGCCAAATTTTGAAAAATAATCTTATATAATGATGAAAATCAAATTTATTCTTTTATTATTTTTAAACCGTTCTCTTTTATACACACACACACACACAGACACACACACACACAACCGTTGGGTAAATTATTTACTGAATATCACCATTTATTAGCTTAAAGATTAGAATTATATTTGGTTTAAGTGTGTGTATTATATTTACTCAGTGTTTATTATAAAATGCCTCTGACCTGTTTTAATGACATTAATTAGAATCATCTATAGTAGTGTATGGAGTCTGAAAACTTTGCTTATAGTCAGTACTTCATGTCTGTCAGAGTGCATTTAATATTTGTTTAATTTGCTGAGAGTAAAGTGTGTTTAGATTATGTATATTGCATATGATTAAGGAATCGGGAAATATTTTTATTGGGAAACTTGCAATCTGTCGTTTTGCTGTTTTTTTGTTGCATATTGAAAAAATGCCAGTAAATCTTTGGATTGGGAAAGTTGAATGGCAAGAGGGGAAATGAAATATATTTAGCTTGAGAAAGTTGTGTTGTATTTTCTACTAAAGAGAAAGCTCACATTTAAAATTGTTGTATCCTTCAGCCTTTGCCATTTTCATGTCGCCCGTTGTATTGTACAAGTATGATGAATCTAGTACTATGCTTTACTGGATTTAGGAAAAAAGAAGAACTAGTAAGTATTACGAAACAAATTCAAAGCGTATTTTTTACAGCAAAATAAATTAAAATTGGCTTTTTTTTCTTTTTAGTATTATGGTTTTATTTTTAAAATATTGAAGGATAACTTATTATGGCTATACCAGATTTTAAATTTTCTGAAGAAACAAATCCTGAAGAGCCTTATAAAGAGACCAGTGTTTTGTCTAGGCTGGCTGATGTGAATTAATAGAAAGATTTCATAGCAATTCTGTTTGACTGTCTTGTTACCATATTGGCTACGTTGGTTATTTAAAGTTTTTGTTTATACATTGCAATTTCTTATTATGCAAGTTCAGCCTGAAAGTATTCTGTTGCCCTATAGAATTCATAGAAAGTTCCTTTTTTATTTTTATTTTATTTTTTTTGAGACAAGTCTTGCTCTGTCACCCAGGCTGGAGTGCAGTGGCGCAATCTCGGCTCACTGCAAACTCCGCTTCCCAGGTTCACACCATTCTCTTGCCTCAGCCTCCCGAGGAGCTGGGACTACAGGCGCCCGCCACCACGCCTGGCTAATTTTTTTTTGTATTTTTAGTAGAGATGGGGTTTCACCGTGTTAGCCAGGATGGTCTTGATCTCCTGACCTCGTGATCCGCTTGCCTCGGCCTCCCAAAGTGCTGGGATTACATGCGTGAGCCACCGCGCCCGGCCAGAAAGTTCTTTCTTTGGTTCACAATACTTTGTTGTTGGAACTGATGGGTATTACTCTGATTTTGTGGGAACAGTCTTGATGTGATAAAACTTGGTATTTTTTTAAAAAAACCAATATATTTACACAGTATGGTATTAAAAAGCAATATATTTAGGCCATAGGAAAGGCGGTTGTTTAACTTACATTTGTGTGAAATCTTTACTAATCCCACCTCTATAATTTTGCCTGTGTTAATAGGCAAACTAATCTTTTTTATACTTACTTTGACATAAAATTTAATAGCTTTATAAAAATCCCGTATGTATTTTATAAATAGAAAGTATTTAGCAAATGCTAAATGTGGGGTAAACATAGTTTAAAATTTTGTTCAAATTAACCATAAAGTCAGTGTTGCTTAATTTTTCTTTTGAGGTCAGGTTGGTGACATTGGTCCATCACATGGGTGGAGTTATTCGAAAAGACTTTAATTCAAAAGTTACACATTTGGTGGCAAATTGTACACAAGGAGAAAAATTCAGGGTATGTAAACTTGGGTATTTTTGTGTATTTCAATACAGCATTATTTTGGCATGGGTTTAATAATAGCAGTCTTTTATCTATTTCTTTCACAATTAAAGAAGAGAAACTCAATTTTTGCTATGAATATATTTAGTAAAAAATTTTAAATCATAAGAGTGGTTAAATTTTCTTTCTTTTCTTTTCTTTTCTTTTTTTTTAAATAGAGATGGGGTGTTGCTCTGTTACCCAGGCTGCTTTCGAACTCCTGGGCTTAAGTGATCCTCCTGCCTTGGCCTCCCAAAGTGTTGAGATTACATACGTGAGCCACCAGGCCTGGCCGAGTGGTTAAGTTTTAAGTAGGCAATGGAACTTGAGTGAGGTGTTGAAAGATGACTAGGATCGTGGGGGTTGGTAGATGAATAACATTGTAGGAATTGTGAAAGTAGGGAATTTACTCTTGTCTAAGTGCCTTTTTTTTTTTTTTTTTTTTTTTTTTGAGACTGAGTCTCTCTCTGTCACCCAGGCTGGAGTGCAGTGGTGCCATCTCGGCTCACTGCAAGCTCCGCCTCCTGGGTTCACGCCATTCTCCTGCCTCAGCCTCCCGAGTAGCTGGGACTACAGGTGCGCACCACCATGCCCGGCTAATTTTTGTAGTTTTCATAGAGACAGGGTTTCACCATATTGGCCAGGGTGGTCTCAAACTCCCGACCTCAGGTGATCTGCCTGCCTCGGACTCCCAAAGTGGTGGGATTACAGGCATGAGCCACTGTGCCTGGCTGTCTAAGTGCCCTTCATAAGAACAGAGCTCTGCTCTTATAAAGTGGTTCTAAGATTTAACTTGTGAATATTATAATAGGAGAAAATACTCTCACTAGGATTGAATCTTAGTTTAAGATTATAGTTGAATGTCTTAGCAAGAGTTTATCATTTTTTCTTAGTCTCCCTTAGTGTATTTGTGTAGCAAATGGTAATTTTAGTGTACTCTTCAATTTACCCTAAATATTTCAACTCATATCTAAGGTTTTAGTGACTTAGTCGGATGTCTTCTTCTGTAGTGCCATCTTGAGGGTCATACTTTCAAGGAAGTAAACGTGAAGAAAGGAGAAATAGAAATTTAATAAAGATGAACTTCAGAGATATATTTATTTAAAATAAGGAAACAGTTCGGACACCATGGAACTTGTTTTGAAGTTATTTTACCCTAACTTGTATGATTGGAAGATAGTTTGTCTGTTAATTTTTAAATTATTTTGTTACAAAGCAGATAGTGATCTAAAACTGCAAAAAATTAAGTATGTTAACTGTTTAGAACTTCCTTGAATGCAGTTATTTAAGGAGAAAATTCACTGTAATGTTTATATTTTTAGGTTGCTGTGAGTCTAGGTACTCCAATTATGAAGCCAGAATGGATTTATAAAGCTTGGGAAAGGCGGAATGAACAGTAAGTGTTTAGAAACTCAGTAGTTCATTATGTAAATTAAACATTCTGGTTTAAAGATAAATCCATGTGCTGAAAAAAGTAATTTCATAGATATAAAAACTGAATTCAGTCTGAGTAGCTTGAGGAATAAAATCTAGGGAGAACAAGTTATAAAAAATTATAAAAAATTAAAAATTGAAAGATATCTTTGATATCTTTGGATTTTACCTTGTGAAGTAATTTTGGCTATTATAAACATTCTGAAATTATTAGATAATAGCTAAATAATTCTGTGTATTTGGATTTTGTTACATATTTTTAAAATTTTGTGTTATCTGGTTACATTTTAATTGGTGCTTGAAATTTATTGCCTTGTTTTGCTTAGTTTTCCAAGCGCATGATTTCTTGCTGTGGCACTTCATGAATTAAGATTTCATGAAAGTTATCATTATTTTAGATTTCATGAAAGCCTTGGAACACAGTACATATAAATCTTCAAATAATAGAGAAAAAATTTGAATCTCTTGTAAAGCTTATCTGTGATCACATTTTGTCAGAAGTTACTTTTGGGATGACAGGACACATCATTTTTTTAAACTGAAGTTTTTGTGAGCATTTCAGGACCAAATATTAAATAGTTTCAATAGATAGATTATGCCAAGACCTTGAAAATTACTGTAGGTTTGTAAATTGATATACCTAACACTTGAATTTAAGTTAAACTGGTTTTGGAAGAGTGTATTTTGTTTTTAGGGATTTCTATGCAGCAGTTGATGACTTTAGAAATGAATTTAAAGTTCCTCCATTTCAAGATTGTATTTTAAGTTTCCTGGGATTTTCAGATGAAGAGAAAACCAATATGGAAGAAATGACTGAAATGCAAGGTAAAATTTAGCATAATGTAAAAGTTATATCTATTTTAGTCCCTAGGCCTGCTTAATCACTTCCTGGTCAATATACCTCTTAAAAAATTTGAGTTTGGAAATAAGTAGCTTGGCTTATTTATGCTTATGTGCATTCCTTTTTAGGAGGTAAATATTTACCGCTTGGAGATGAAAGATGCACTCACCTTGTAGTTGAAGAGAATATAGTAAAAGATCTTCCCTTTGAACCTTCAAAGAAACTTTATGTTGTCAAGCAAGAGGCAAGTAATTCTAGAATGAGGTTGGTTTTTAAAAACACTATTAATAGCTTCTCTGATAAAATAAATGTAAACTGTTTATTAAAATGTTTTTTCTCTCACCTAGTGGTTCTGGGGAAGCATTCAAATGGATGCCCGAGCTGGAGAAACTATGTATTTATATGAAAAGGTATGCTTTTAACCCCTTACTTATTTGTTCTGTGAGCTTGATTGTTTGAAAATAACACTTTTCTGTCCAGAAGGTTTAGAAGCATGTTTAGGAATTTCAGAATGATTAAAACAATTGGGATATCAAGTTATCTTAGTCTATGTAGATTTAAGTGGAACTATTCAATGTAATGTGTATTATTTTAACCTAATATATGTTGTTCTGTGCGAATTCTTGGTGATAACATTACGAACAAGAACATCTCTATCTTCAGAAACTTAGACTTTTAATGGAAAGATAGATTTGTACGTAGTTAACGATGGGGAATGATGTGTGCCACAACTGAGTAATGTATTTTAGGTAGCCTCGCTCTGAGAGACTCAGGAGGGAATAAAAAGGTGAAATAAATGTTGACCCAACTTACTAGGCCAACTAGGTAAGGACATTCGTTAGAACCCCAATTGGGAGAGGGTATGAAAGCTTTGAGAGTACATTAAAATAACAAGTAGTTTAGTATGGCTTTACAGTGTGGGAAGGAAGGCCAACAGATAAAACTTAATGGATAGATAGAATCAAGAAGTTTTTAATACATTAATGAGCTTGGATATTATCCTATAACTATTGGGAGCCATTGAAGAAGAGTAAGGGGAGAGACGTCATTAAAAAGATGAGTTTGATAGTAGAATATCGTTAAGGAAAATCTAGTGTTTATGGTGAATCTTGGTGAAGAGTAGTATCACTCACCAAAATGACAAAGTTATGGAAGTAGTCTTTAAGGGAAGATTTACTTCAGTTTAGGATTTAATAACTTTGTGTGGAATATTGAAGATGAGTTGTTTCTGTAAAATCTATATAGTACCATATTGTGTTCTCTTCAGAGTCTTTGAAATGTGAAGTTCTTAAAGTTTAAAAAGTGTGCTTTAGATTTAGGGAGAGAACTCTTAAAAATCAAGTGTTACTCAGCACATATTGGAAAGCATTGTGTCCAGGCACTGTGCTAGGGATACAGCGAACAGACTGTGAATGGCCCCTGCCTTCTTGGAGTTGATGAGCTAATGAAGGAGCAGGTAGTAAACAAGTTTACAGATGAAAATATAATAGTGATAGTGGCTATGAAGAAAAATGAGGTGCTTGAGGTTAGACAATTACAGTCGTCTCTTGACTATTATGTTTTATGAAACTTTTGAATTGCCTGGTAGAGTGTAGGGTTATAAAATTATTGTGCAAAATCCAGATTCTGTCAGACTTGTAAATATATTTTTCTCTTGTTCCTGTCTCAGTAAAGAACCATGGAAGTAAATTGAGCTTGTGTGCTTTTGATTACAGGCAAATACTCCTGAGCTCAAGAAATCAGTGTCAATGCTTTCTCTAAATACCCCTAACAGCAATCGCAAACGACGTCGTTTAAAAGAAACACTTGCTCAGCTTTCAAGAGAGACAGACGTGTCACCATTTCCACCCCGTAAGCGCCCATCAGCTGAGCATTCCCTTTCCATAGGGTCACTCCTAGATATCTCCAACACACCAGAGTCTAGCATTAACTATGGAGGTAATTCACATTCTTAAAAACTTGTCTTTAAAGTTTAGTGGAATGGAATAATTGTTAGAATTTAGATAAATCCCTGATATAGTGAATATGGAAGTCTTTGCCTTTAATTACCTTTGTTCTAGCTGTAGAGAAAAGACACATGAATAGTTAAGCTTAATAATGTTGCAATTTAATGACTGCTTACTACATGCTAAATGCTTTATACGTTTTGTGTGTTTATAATAGATTTTATTATTCCTGTTTTACAGATGACTAAACTGAGATACAGAGAAGTTAAGTAATTTCTCCAGGGTCATATAACTAGAGAGTGATAGTGCTGTTCAAAAAGCAAACAAAGTCACAGGGGAGGTCACATAAATTATGGAGAAAATAGGTAGAATGAAGTCAGAGGAGGGTGAGTTCACTTTGTGCTGAACTGATACAGAAAGGCTCCTATAATTCTTCCTTGGTTATCAGTATTTCCCTTTCTTTTTGATTTTTAGTCTGTAAACAAATGTGTTTTCTAGATTTAAGAAACAAAAAAAATCAAAATCTCCTCCGGACCTCATGACACTTTTCACTTATTGTCCCATTTTTCTGTTTGCTTTCACATCAGCATACTTAAAAGAATTACTTTGATCTATTGTCTCATTTCCTTGATTCTCGTTGTCCTTTCAACGCATTCCAACTGATCTGCAGTCCTTGTTGGGGAGACAGTTTTTATGCATTCAACACATGAATAGCTACTCCTTTATGGACACAATTTTTTTTCTTTGCTTCTGTGATATTACTTACTCATTTCTCATTCTCCTTGGCCTAACTTCTTTTTTTCAATTCTAAATGTTGTATGTTCCTCCTGAGTCATTGTTTCTTCTCTATTGTACTCTCCCTAAATTATCGTAGTAAAATCTATGGTTTTGAAAAGCATTTGTATGCTGATGACTCCCAAATTTGTCCTCTTCCCTGTCAAGCTACCTACTTTGTACTTCCTTGTCCATGTCTAATAGATATCTTAAACCTAAGATAACCAAATTAGACCTTTGGATTCTGCCACTCTTAATTCCTCTGTTCCTTTGCTCCTCTTCATCAGTCTTTTCTGTAAAAAGGATCTCTCTTAGATGATTGCAGTAGTCTCCTAAATAGTCTCTCCCTTTTAATTTGTGCCTTTCTATATGCAACACTTAGAAAAATCTTTAAAAATATATAAATTAGATGATGCCACTCCTCTGCTTTAAAATCACTTAATGGCTTTCTATTACTGTAGCTTTTAAGTCCCTATGTAATCTTGCCCTCATCTGCCTAATCTCATGTGGTATTATGCTCTCTAATAATGCCTGTACTCTCTAAGCTTCAGTCATACCATCTTTGTTATTCTTCAAATATTTTTAGTACATCCATACCTCAGGACTTTGTTACTTTCTCTGCCTCAAGGAAATCTGCGTGGATTGTCTGTAAAGTTAAATCCCTCCACTCCTTTCTGCCAATCCTGTGACCTGGTAGTTGTTTTTAGTAGTAGTTCTTACGATAGAAATTACAGTACTTGTTTACTTCTTTATTATTTGATTTGCTTCAAATAAGTAATCTTTAAGAGAAAATGAACCTTGTCTGTCTTATTCTGTGTTTATCCTCAGACCCTAGTATAAAGTGGGTATTCACTAAATACTTAAGGGAAGAACTGAAAGTGAATTCAAGGTTGGCCCAGAAATTTGAAATGAATTTGAGAATATAAAGAGGAGCAAATATACAGATAATAGCATACAAACTGAGTTTTTAGAGAATAATGGATAGATCAGTTTGCTTGGAATGTGGAGGAATAAAAGTTAAAAATGTTAATTGAGGCCTAATATTAGGTCACTTTCAAATAAGACTGTAATATCTGAACTGTATATTGTCATCAACAAGGAATTTTAGAAACTCCTTGAGCAGCAGAGAAATTGATTGAATAGATAATTCATAGAGAGTTGTTCTGAAGAATGATTAGAAGGAAGGCAGTTTGGAGACAGTCAGACCATGATGTAATCTATTACAATCGCTTCGGCCATGAAATAATAAGGTGCTGAACCAGAGTATGTGGTGGTTGGAAAGAAAAGTAAGAAGCACTGGAGAAATATTGGTAGAATAAAGCAATAGGGAGGAAATAAAAAGAGATGAAGGCAAATTACTAATTTAAATGAAAGAAATGTTGCCTTGGCATGGATAGGAAATTTATATTTTGGAGGGAGGTAGTGAAGTTTTAGAGAAATCCAAGTTACATTAAGGCAGAACTATCCAGTAAGCATTTGGAAAAGTTGAACCAGCTTGAGAGGGAGATCATGATTAGATCTGAGAATGTACTAGTTTTATAATCATAATGGACAATAGCATGGGATGGTAAGAGGAGAACATAAAGGACTGAAACTTGAATATGCATTTTAGGAGACAAGAGAACAAAATGAACCACCGAAGTAAACAGATGTGACAACTATACTGATATTTTAGGTGCTCTGTAAAATAGATTCCCCAGTTTGTAGGTCATTGTCTAGACACAGAATAATTAAATTAGATCAGTGCATCTCAATTTTTTCCCACTGAAGTATATTCTGTAATGGCAGAGGCTTCTGGGTCTGGTGAGTGTAGCCTAAAATAATGTTTGACAAGTGGGAAATTTTTTGAGATTCTGTTTTTTTTAAAAAGCACTCAGGGGCTGGGCGCGGTGGCCCACGCCTGTAATCCCAGCACTTTGGGAGGTTGAGGAGGGCAGATCACGAGTTCAGGAGTTCGAGACCAGCCTGACCAACATGGTGAAACCCCATCTCTACTAAAAATACAAAAATCAGCAGGGTGTGGTGGTGTGCGCCTGTAATCCCAGCTACTCAGGAGACTGAGGCAGGAGAATCACTTGAACCCGGGAAGTGGACGTTGCAGTGAGCCGAGATGGCACCACTGCACTCCAGCCTGGGGGACAGAGTGAGTCTCCATCTCCAAAAAAAAGCACTCAGAACTCCATAGTACATAATTGTTTTCATATAAAAGCATTTAAAATTGTTTATCATTGAGTAAAATTGATGTGCTGGAAATATATATTATGGTTCTTTGTCACCTATTTCTATTTTATGTCATACATTCCTTTTCCTGTTGAAAAACTTGCTATTAGGTGCTTCTATATATAATGTTAAAGTATTCTAACCATATTAACAGTAAGAAAACAGATTTTAAGCTTTTATACATTAAAAAGATGTATATATATCTATAGATATGTGTATAGATTTTTTTTTTGAGACGGAGTCTTGCTTGGTCGCCAGGCTGGAGTGTGGTGGCGTGGGAGTGTGGTGGCAGGATCTAGGCTCACTGCAACCTCCACCTCCTGGGTTCAAGAGATTCTCCTGCCTCAGCCTCCTGAGTAGCTGGGATTACAGGCATGTACCACCACGCCTAGCTAATTTTTGTATTTTTAGTAGAGATGAGGTTTCACCATGTTGGCCAGGCTGGCCTCGAACTCCTGACCTCAAGTGATCTGTCCGCCTTGGCCTCCCAAAGCGTTGGGATTACAGGAGTGAGCCACCGTGCCTGGCCGCAAATTTTTTTCTTTCATGAAATGTATATGAAATACACTGTTGCATCCTCCTTCCACTCTGTACTGGTTGTTTTATATTACGTTAAGACAGTTTGAACTACCAAAGAATTTTCAGTTAATATTGGGTTTTTTGTGGGGGGGCTTCTTTTTGACATAAGTATATGACAAGTTTTCGTTATTGTAATTGTGTAATCACAACAACCTTTTCCTCTTTACATGTAAGTATTTTTACATCTCCCTTTCTGTTTTTTTATTTTAGCTGTACAAAGATTCCTATACCTTTTACCCAGATTTCCCAAAGGGACATATTCTGCCATGTTTGCTTTAGCATTCATTCAGTCAAAATCTCTCTTTTTCTAAACACAGATATAATACACACGTGCACATGTATTTTTAATATCTATACTGTTTGAGAGTAAGCTGCAGACATGATGTGCCTTTAGCTTTAAGTACTTAAATGTCTATTTCCTATGATAGAGACATATTTCTTAAATAACTACATTACTTACTACATTATTATAGTAAGGAAATTAACATTAATACTGTGAACTGTTTTGTAGACTTCAGATTTCATCAGTTATCCTAAAAAGTCTTAATGTCCTTTTTAGCAAAAGGAAAAAGTGTTTTTCTTTTTGATCTATGATCCAATCCAGGATACACATTTGTTAGGTTGTCTCTCTCTAGTCTTCTCTAACCTGGAACAGTTCCTTAGTCTTTCTTTGTTTTTAATAACCTTGACGTTTTTGAAGAGTACAGGCTGTTTAGTGGAATGCCTACCAACTGGAGTCAGTGATATTTTTGACCGTTATTTTTTTCTGGCCTTAGCCTATGAGAAAAAAATTTTTTATTGGAAATCTGTATGGTGGTACATTTATAAGAGTAGGTTTTCTCTCCTTTTTATCTTGTTAAGTCTACATAATGTTTGGTATTTATATTTGGCTTCCATTAAATCTTTCCACCTTTTAACGTTTCAGACACCCCAAAGTCTTGTACTAAGTCTTCTAAAAGCTCCACTCCAGTTCCTTCAAAGCAGTCAGCAAGGTGGCAAGTTGCAAAAGAGCTTTATCAAACTGAAAGTAATTATGTTAATATATTGGCAACAATTATTCAGGTAAGTATGAGTTTGATTGAAAAATGATTTCTGTTCCAGTGTTCCTAAGTAAAAAAATCTAGGTGATATTGTTTCTTACGAGAAAATTATATAAACATAGTATTTGAACATGGATGTTAAAAATGGAATTGTGTGACAAAAACTGCTGTTAGGGAAATGTCATAACTGTAGTATTACCTTTTATTTATCCAGAAATAGGACCATTTTTAATAATTACTTTAAAGAGAACAGAACTCAGTAGATGATCTCAGGAGTATCAAGTTTAATTCAGAATTTTGCAGGTTCCTTGTCAAGATACTGCATTTATATTTGGAAGTGATAGATAACTTTTTCTGAAAGTATGGGTTCTGAGAGTCATTGCTTTGTTTTTAGTACTGTATATATGTGAAAAACATCGCCTATACAATAGCAATGAAGCATAACAGTGTTGATATAAGTAATTTTTTTCAGTAATCATTTCATGTGACACATGAAATATGCAGTGGTTAGTCATAAATAGATGTTAACTCATTGCTTACCAATATTAAAATGTACTATAAAGTTATTTCTGAAGAAAACAGCTCTAATGAATCCTTGTAGGATGAGATTATAGAAGATATTAAGGAATAAACTGAAATTTAAGATTCCAAAAGACAATAATAGGCCATTATGTTGGTATCTGTAGAAAGAAGGAAGAAATCTGTTTTAGGTAATAAAAGAGATAGGTTGACATACTGTTAAGAAAATGAAGTTGGTAACACCAAGCTTATCTTTCAATAGAAAACAATAGGGAGTTTCTGATTTGGGTTTAGTTTTTAATTGACTTTTATTTGAATTCATAAAATAACTCATTAAGGGCCAATTTAATAGCCTTTAAGTTGCTTGTACCATTGATAAAATACATGGATAAGACATGGAAAGACTTCTTACTTGATGGTCATAGAGAAGTTATTTTTCATGGTTAATTATTTGTTTAGGAGCAGTCAGGGTTTTATGAGGTTCTTTGCTGTATTAGCTTTATTTTAAGTCACCTTTGCTCTTCCTTCTCAAGGGAAATCACTCTAGATAGATGAGTTTCTTGTTGAAGTTTTTATAATGATTCAAAATGTGGTTGAGTAGCAAAAAATCCCTTTGGCATATACTATTCATGTACTTTAGTAGCATTTATTGCTTAGAAATGTAAATTCTTTCAAGCCATGGTAAAATGCATTGAAGTTTCAGAATTCTAATTTGCATATCAATTAAATTCACTAAAACTCCTTTTAAAAAATCTCACGAAATTATTAGACTGGAGAAAGTTTCATACCACTTTGCTTAGTATAAACTCATCAAAGGTTTGTTTAAAAGATTGTGGCCTAAATTCATGATAGTATTCTCTCCTTAAAAAAATTTTTTTTTATACAGATGGGGTCTTGCTATGTTGCCCAGGCTGGTCTCAAACTTCTGTGCTCAAGTGATTCTCCTGCCTCAGCCTCCCAAAGTGTTGTAATTACAGGCCTGAGCCACTGCACCCAGCCCATGATAATATTCTCATTAAAGAGCTTTGTTTTAGGACTGATATTTTCCTTTTTGGGGGGATAGGATTTGGAATAACTTAATTATAGCTTATCCTCAAAATTAAATGAATATCCAGAGGCTTCTTTATTCCACATACTACTTGGATGCCTAATTAATATAAAGTACTGTGCTAAGTGTTAAAGATTTTTTTTTTTAAAGAACTTTATACTAGAAGAGGAGATAAAACATACACAATTATAATTACCAAATGGAAGGTATCAGCATAATAAAGGAGTTAAGGTATTAGATTTGTAAAGTGAGAGTTTTACTACTCGTTTAGTTTAGGGAAGGTATTGGCCTGGAATTTTCTGTGTGTTGTGCATCAGAAAAAGCTTCATACAGAAGGTAATGATCGAAGTGAACTTTTTTTTCTAGAAAAATACAGTAATTTCACAGTTTATTTAATAGCAGCTGGTACACATGAAATTTCCTTCCTTTGGTAATGCCTTTTTTTGACAGAAGTTTCCAAATTAGCACTGATTATTTGCAAAAGTTATTAGATTAGCTGTACTATCATTTTCCTTAAAGATGACTAAAGGTAACATAGAATCACAGCCCTTAGATGGTCATACAAAATGATCATATAAGTCAGAGCTGGTTTATCACCAGCATTTATAAAAACAGACCTAGGGAAAGGTAAGTCTGAGACACACGCGTGGTCTTAATATAGTGAATGTTTAGCTTGTCGTTACTATTATAAAATCAAAACGGTGAGTATATTCATAATGAAGTGAATTTTAAAGTATGAATATGATTGGTACAAGTAGAGGATATAGATGAGAAGTGTCTTTGAGACCGAGTAAACAATACAAGTGATCATTCTGTATTATCAATAGCAAGGGTGTAGTAGGCATATGGATACAGTGACAGTTGAGATGAGATGGCCTATACCAATCTAGAGAAGGCCTTTGAGTGGTGTGCTATATTATCTAAGCTATAGAATAATTTTTTTATGAGACGAGAGATCAATAATATCTGACTTGCATTTCAGAAAGATAACTTGGTTCACTTTGAAGGAGGAATTCAAGAGGGGAAATTGGGGAATCAATGATAATTTAGAGGCTATTTCAGCAGTTGGGAGAGATTTTGAAGATCTGAACTTTTTAGGATAGTATCAGTGTTGATAAGAGGATAGATTTGAGAAATATTGGAAAAATAGAATCTTTCATTGTGGTTTCAGTTTTCATTTTCGTAATGACTAATGATGTTGAACATATTGTCTTCATTTGACATCTGTATATCTTTTTTGTTGAAATAACTGTTCGTGTTTTTTGCCCACTTTTAAATTGGGTTGTTTCCTTCTGAGTTTTGAGAATTCTTTCTTTAAAATTTTTGAGATAGGGTCTCACTCTGTTGCCCAGGCTGGAGTGCAGTGGTGCAATCTTGATTTGGCTCACTGCAGCCTCTGCCTTCTGGGTTCAAGTGATTCTCCCACCTCAGCCTCCCGAGCACTTGGGACTACAGGCATGTGCCACCACACCCAGCTCATTTTTGTATCTTTTGGTAGAGATGGGGTTTCACCATGTTGGCCAGGCTGGGAGAATTATTATTTTTTTTGAGACTGAGTCTTGCTCTGTCGCCCAGGCTGGAGTGCAGAGCGCCTCCCAAGTTCACCCCATTCTCCCACCTCAGCCTCCCGAGTAGCTGGGACTACAGGCACCCGCCACCACGCCTGGCTAATTTTGTTTTTGTAATTTTAGTAGAGATGGGGTTTCACCATCTTAGGCAGAATGATCTTGATCTCCTGACCTCGCGATCCGCCCACCTCGGCCTCTCACAGTGCTGGGATTACATGCATGAGCCACTGTGCCCGGCCGAGAATTCTTTATATATTGTGGATACTAGTCCTTTGTCAAACATGACTTGCAAATGCTTTTTTGTCATTCATAGCGTATTTTTTAAATTCTCTCGTGTCTTTTGCTGAAGAAAAGTAAATTTTTATTCAAGTCTAATTTAACAGTTTTTTTCATTCATAGATTGTGATATCATATATGAGAACTCTTTACCTAAGTTTAAGTCATGAAGATTTTCTCTTCTGTTTTCTTCTAAAAGTTTTATAGTTTTAAGTTTTTTGTTTATGTCCGTGACCCATTTTGAGTTAATTTTTGTATAAAGTGTTATATTTAGGCTGTGATTCATTTTTTGCTTATGGCAGATGGTATTGTAATACCGTTTGTTGAAAGACTATCCTTCTGCATTGAATTGCTTTTGGACCTTTGCCTAAAATTACTTGACCATATTTGCATGAGTTTGTTTCTGAATTATCTGTTTTATTGATCTATGTATGTTTCTCCCCTCATGAATACCCATACAGTCTAGAACACCACAGCTTTGTAGTAAGAAGCTTCTTTGCCTTTCCATATAAATTTTTAGAATCAGGTTTTCTATATCTGCCAGAAGCCCTGGAACTTTGATTGGCACTAAATTTATAAATCAATTTGAGGGAGAATTGACATTCTTACTGTGTTGATTCTTTCAATCCATGACCATATGTCTACATTTATTTAGGTTGTCTTTGATTTCTTTCATCAGTATACTGTAGTTTTTAGCATCATGAACATATATTTATACTTAAGTATTTTATTTTTTTATTGTGATACTATTTACATTATATTTTCCATTTGTAAATTACTGGTATATAGAAGTAAAATTGACTTGTGTCTGTGCATGCATATGCATGCACTGACCTTGTGTCTTATGGCCTTGCCAAACTCATTGTTAGTTCTTAGTTTTTTTCTTTTACTTTTTAGATTGATACAAGCAGAAACATAGATACAAACAGATCTTCTAGCTTCAAATCCAGTCTTTCCCCCAAGCCAAGCTTCTACACTAACAATTTTAAAACATTTAGCACATATATTAGATATGTCTGGAGGCAGCAGATTGCTTGTTGCTTTCATCCTTAGTAACTTGAATACAAAAGTAGAAATTACTCTTGTATCATACTAACAATTTTAATGATTGATTGCAGAACTGTGTGAAGTTTTATTTGCTTCTAATGACATTTCATGACGAGCATATGTATATACATATACACAGGTATATAAATGGAGTACATAAAATAGAATAGAAAATATGGGGAAAATGTCTCAAATTTAGGGAGAGTATTTTTTATTATTACTTCCTTCTCTATTAATATCTTGTGTCTCCTTTATCACTGTCTATCTTTTAGCTCTTTTCTTTTTCCCACAATCTACTTAAACTAGTCTTTTTTCTCATTTAGTTATTTCAAGTACCATTGGAAGAGGAAGGACAACGTGGTGGACCTATCCTTGCACCAGAGGAGATTAAGACTATTTTTGGTAGCATCCCAGATATCTTTGATGTACACACTAAGATAAAGGTAAATTTGTATATGTTAGATTGGTAGTAATTTTTTTCAGATTGTACATATTTATTATGATCTTTGAGGTACTTCTGGTTAGCTAAATAAGTTTTGTACCTAAAACTTCTTATTCCCTTATTAGTTCCTTTGAATCATTTGTCTCTTTGTTCCAGTGCCTCATAATGTTTGTTGTTTGCTTTTGTTTTGTTTTTTGAGACAGTCTCACTCTGTCACCCAGGTTTTAGTGCATTGATGTGATCTGGGCTCACAGTAACCTCTGCCACCTGGGCTCAAGCAATTCTCCCGCTGCCTAAGTCCTGAGTAGCTGGGACCCCAGGCATGTGCCACCATCCCAGCTAATTTTTGTATTTTTTTTGTAGAGATGGGTTTTGTCATGCTGCCCAGGCTGGTTTCGAACTCCTGACCTCAAGTGGTCCACCCGTCTCGGCCTCCCAAAGTGTGGGGATCTTAGGTATGAGACACCATGCCCTGCCTTTTTTTTTCGAGATGGAGAATACTCTCTCACCCAGGCTAGCGTGCAGTGGCCTGATCATGACTTACTGCAACCTTGACCTCCTGGGCTCAAGTGATTCTCCCACCTCAGCCTCTCCCGAAGTAACTGGGATTACAGTTGCATGCAACCATGCCTGGCTAATTTTTTTAAAAAAGTTTTTTGTAGAGACAGGGCAGGGTCTTGCTGTGTTGCCCAGGCTGGTCTCAAACTCCTGGACTCAACTGATCCTCCTGCCTTAGCCTCTCAAAGTGCTAGGATTACAGCCATGAGCCATTGCACCTAACCTTTGTTTGCTGTTTTTTATTTTCAGTTAATCCTACAAACAAGTAATTAAGGCTTTATGAAATCTATTCTGTAGAAACATGTGACTCCCAGTACTATTTTTCTTATGTTCCTATTGTTTTTGCTCTTGGGGTGTATATTTTTGTTTTGCTTTGGCTTGTTTTGAAAACTCTAAACCTCTAATGGACTTAGAGTTCATTTAAGTCCCTTCTCCATTTATAGGTAGGTAAATGCCAAAAGTATGTGAGACAATGCTGTCCTCTTTGGTGAAGGGCCTGTGAATTCCAGGTGTCAATCTCTTACACTAAAATAATTCCTGAACAGATTTAGCTGAACTCTTAAACTACTTTTTAAGTAAGTAGTTTAGTTTTATTTCCTCTTATTTTACCTATGTAGTACTTGAGCAAAGTTGATCAGTTTTCTTTTCAAAATAACTCACATTAATATTTATGTCACATTCCAGTAAAAGAACCAATCGGAATTACAGGATGTTTTCAAATATATAAGATTGTTTTTTATTTTAGTATACATTATAAACAAAAAATAGAAGATCTATAAATTATTTAAAATGATATTTACCAATTGCTTGTATTTTGTGTTTTATCAGTATTGCTGATCATATTTCAGTTAATTTCTAGATCTAAAGAGAACTCTGAAGGAATCTATTTGTTTAAAAAGCTTAGAAAGCTAGAGAGTTTCAGGCTAGTTAATCCTATTCCAATTAGGATTCTGAATTTTTGAAGAGGAAAGTACTCTTGGAATATTTTTTGTTTTGTAAGAATTACTGGGTGGCACAAAAGCAGAATGGAAGGTCAAGTAGGTTTTGTGGGTTTTTTTCTTTTTTTTTTTTTGAGGTGGAGTCTCACACTGTCACCCAGGCTGGAGTGCAGTGGTGCGATCTTGGCTCACTGCAACCTCTGCCTCCCGGGTTCAAGTGATTCTCCTGCCTCAGCCTCCTGAGTAGCTGGGACTACAGGCATGCACCACCACGCCTGGCTAATTTTTGTATATTTAGTGGATCTGGGATTCTGCCATGCTGACCAGGCTGGTCTTGAACTCCTGACCTCAAGTGATCCGCCCGCCTCGACCTCCCAAGGTGCTGGGATTACAGGCATAAGTCACTGTCCTGTCAAGTAGGTTTTTATCTTGGTGTTTTGCCGCTAACTTTGTGGATCAATTTGAATTTGTGTCAGTTATTTAGCTAGTCTGGACACCCTTCTTTGACAAAATGTGTTATTTTATGTTTGCAGAGTCATAATCTTAATTTAGAAAATCATATTCTTTGATTCAGTGAAGCTTTGAAAATTTGTCACCCTTTAGTTTTCTCAAGTGTAACTTAATTCTTTAAGCTTCTTTTTTGTAAAATGGTACTTCAACTATTAGTTTTTCAGTTTTTTCTTTTTTTTTTTTTTTTTTTTTTTGTCATCTAGGCTGGAGTGCAGTGGCCTGATCTGAGCTCACTGCAACTATTTGTTTTTTTTAGCTGATTGCAGGTTTGTCAAATATTTAAAAATTTTAAAGCTTATGTTCTTTTCTACCGTGAAACCAGTACGTGCCGTGAAACATTTGTAAAACTCAAGAGAAAAGGAAAAAGGGAGAGAAATACCCATAATTCCATTATCCAAAAATGTCTAAAATTTTGGGTTTTTTTCTTTATCCTCGTAACACATAGCAGTTTTTTTTCCTGTTTTAAATGAAGCCAACCATCTATTGAGCATTACCACATCTATTGAGCAAGAAGTTGGTATTGTACACATTTTAGAAATGTGAAACCGGTACACACAGAGAATAACTTTACAGAGGCAGTCATCTAATAAATGCTGGATCCAAGACTTGAACCTTTATTTGTATAACTTCAAAGTCTGTTCTCCTAACTATTAATGCTATTTTGCTTCTTTAAAATCATGCTGAGATACATTCTTTTGGTATGTAGATGAATACACCATGTAAATGTGTCTTAAATTTGTACAGTTTTTCGTATCATCTCAATAACAGCATTCCTGAAAACATTGGTGTCTGTATTTTATAATATCACATAGTGGTTAAGAATATGTAGTGGAAAAAACGGGTTTGTTTTTTTTTTTTTCTTTTTGCGACAAAGTCTCGCTCTGTTGCTCAGGCTGGAGTGCAGTGGTGCAGTCTTGGCTCACTGCAACCTCCATCTCCCAGGTTCAAATGATTCTCCTGCCTTAGCCTCCCTAGTAGCTGGGACAGGTGTGCGCCACCACACCTGGCTAATTTTTGTATTTTTAGTGGAGGTGGGGTTTCACCACATTGGCCAGGCAGGTCTCAAACTCCTGACCTCAGGTAATCTGCCTGCCTCTGCCTCTCACAGTGCTTAGATTACACCACTGTGCTTGGCCTGAACAAAGCAGATTTGATTGAGTTTGAAGTCAGGTGACTTTAAGTGCTTCAGTTTTCCTGTTTATAAAATGGGGATAATAATAACTGACTCATGAAGTTGGGCAAACTAATCTTAAGTTTTTTGTAGTGTTAAAACTTTTTTTTACCCATTGTGTTTACACCCACTGTCTAGCATTTAGATTACTTTCGGTAAATGTTTACTAAATGATGGTTGTGTTACCTTTAACTTTCAAAATTAAGACTAGCACTCACTGTATTTTCTTATCTAGGTATTATGTATACAACTTTAGAAGCCTCATCCTTACTTTGCTTCCAAGGTCTAGTGAGCTGATGTTTTGAGTAAGATGAAAATTTTTGAGGTTGTTATATACATCTCTCTCTTTTCCTCAGTATGAATTTTTCTTTTTCAAGATTAAACATCATTAATCCTTGATGTACAATTTTCTGCTCTTAGCTTGGCACAGTGGCTGATGTCTGTAATTTCTGCACTTTGGGAGGCCGAGGCAAGTGGATTGCCTGAGCCCAGGAGTTTGAGACCAGCCTGGGCAACAAGGCAAAACCCCATCGCTACAAAAAATGCAAAAATTAGCTGGGTGTGGTGGCGCATGCCTGTAGTTCCAACTCTTCGGGAGGCTGAGGTGTTAGGATCGCTTGAACCCAGGAGGCAGAGGTTGCAGTGAGTCAAGATCATGCCACTACACTCCAGCCTGAGCAACAGAGTGAGACCCTGTCTCAAAACTATGCAACTATGATGAAACAAGAGACAGAGATTGATAGGAGTTCTTTTTCTTTTTATATATATCTGTTGTTATTTTAGCGTAAGCCTCAAAAGAATTGTGTACTTGTTTCAGGAACCCATGTATGTTGGCTTACTGTGCAATGAGCTCAGCAAAAGAGAAACCCTGGTTAAGATTAATTCTGCGCTGTTTCTACCTACTTAACAGTGCAGAATAAATCTTAACAAGGAAGAAAAGAAGTAAGTAGCTTAGCTTTCTTAAGCCCCATCTGTTTATGACTTCCCCACTTATCTAATATTCTTGCCCAGGCTTTGGAATCTGCTCTGTCTCAGAACTGTAGAATTGTCCGTTCTTTTAGAGGAAAAGTTAAGAGAATCCTATGAGAATTTCTGATGTATTATAGACAAGGAGGAGGAAATACATCTCAGTCTCTGTCCTAAATTGTATCGGGCATTTTCCCTCAGAAATGTTGTAAGAAGTAGTGGTATTATGAATAAAGCTACTGGGGACTCGCCTGCCAAACTGAGTCCCCCTTTCTAATGGGGAGGAACTGTGGAATAACATGGAATCTGAGTCAGACAATACTGAGTTTCAATACTGGTTCACAGCTGTGTGATTTGAGGAAAGTTACTTAATCTCTCTAAGCCTTAGTTTCTTTATTACTTAGTTCCTGAGCTATTAGCTATCTTTTTTTTTTTTTTTTTTTTTTTTTGAGATGGAGTCTCGCTCTGTCGCCCAGGCTGGAGTGCAATTGCACAATCTCAGCTCACTGCAACCTCCACCTGCCGGGTTCAAGCAATTCTCCTGCCCTAGCCTCCTGAGTAGCTGGGACTACAGGCACGCGCCACCATGCCTGGCTAGTTTTTTGTATTTTTAGTAGAGACGGAGTTTCATCATGCTGGCCAGGCTAGTCTCGAACTCCTGACCTTGTGATCTGCCCGCCTCGGCCTCCCAAAGTGCTGGGATTACAGGCATGAGCCACGGCACCCGGCCTAAGACAGCAATCTTTATTCAACAAGCATTAGGAATTAAAAGTTAACCAGAAACAGAGCAGACTATATTTCAGAGTGCCTAAAGATGATTTTGCTTTCTTAGAGCAATGTTCTTATGTAAGTATTTATTTTACAGGTTTATGAATTAATACTTGTAAAGCATTTAGAGGAATCCCTAACAGATAGTTATGCTCATAAAATCCTCTATGATGTAGGAATAATTACATTCCTTATTTTTCAGAATAGGAAATTGAGGAACATATAGCTTAAATAACTTGTCCAAGGGCACAGAAGTAACAAGCCCAAGAGCCAGTATTTAAACCTCAGTAGTCAGTGCCAGAATTCACTGCATTATATTGCCCCAAGATTAGACTTATTTATAATATTTTTCTTTCTTTTTTTTCTTTCAAGTGCATTTCTGAACAGTTCAATCTTCCCAGTTCTTGATGTGTGTGGGCTGTTAAAATATTCTTGCTTTGAGTTTACTTTTATGCTATTGAAAGTAGTTTTTCTCGCTTTTGAACTTTACTGTAATTCTTAAATTTTTTGTCTTCAGGATCCCTTTTCATTCTTAAAGATTGAAGAAGTTTTACCTATGTGGATTTTATATATTGGTAGTTGCTGTATTCAAAATTTTAAAATATTATTTAACATGTATTATTTTTTAACAGCTTTACTGAGGTACATCTTACGTGTTTTTAAATTCACCTATTTAAAATAACACAATTCAGGCCAGGCCTGGTGGCTCCTGCCTGTAATCCCAGCACTTTGGAAGGCTGAGGCAGGAATATCGCTTGAATCTAGGAGTTTGAGACCAGCCTGGTCAACATAGTGAGAACCCATTTTTGCAAAAAATAAAACAGCTGGCTGTGGTGGCACATGCCAGTAGTCCCAGCTACTTGGGAAGCTTAGGTGGGAGGATTGCTTGAGCTTGGGTGGTTGAGGCTACAGTGAGTTGTGCCACTGCACTCCAGCCTGAGCAAAAGAGTGAGACCCTGTCTCAAAAAAAAAAAAAAGAAAGAAAATATGATACAATTCAGTTATTTTAATAACTTAACCAAGTGGTACAACCATCACTATAAATCCACTCTAGGAGATTTTCACTACCCACCCCAAATAAGATGTCTACTTAAAATTAATCTTTATTTCTACACCCAGCCATAGGCAACCACTAATGTACTTTCTGTATCTATGATTTTGCCTTTTCTGGACATTTTATATATTTAATATGTTATACATTGATACTATGTATATATACATAGCATATAGATATACTATTTGATACACTATATAGTATTGTAAATATGTTTATATAGTATGTGGTCTTTTATATATGGTTTCCTCTTAGCATGTGATTTTTAGTTCATCTAAATGTAGCGTGTTAGAAGTTCTTTTTTTCTGGTCAAATAATATTCCATTATATGGCTATACTAACTTTAAATTGTCTGTTCACCAGTTGATAGACATTTAGATTGTTTCCATTTTTGGCTATTATGAATAATGCTGCTGTGAGAGTGTGGTGTGCAGATCCATGTGGACATGTTTTCATTTCTCTTGAGTAGATACCTAGGAGTAGCATTGATGAGCTATATGGTAGTTTTGTATTTAAAAATTTTAAGAAAATGCCAGGGTTTTCCCATTATTTTAAAGTTAATTAGTTAATTTATTTAGAGATGTGGTCATGCCAGATTACCCAGGCCGGCCTCAAACTCTGGTCTCAAGTGGTCCTCCCACGTCAGCCTCCTGAGAAGCTCAGACCCATCAGTTGTTATTTTCACCAGTAATGAATGAGAGTTCCAATTTCTCCACATTCTTTAAAAACACTTATCTTTTTTTTTCTTAAATTATAACCATCCTAGTGGGTGAGGAGACATCTCTTGTGGCTTTAATTGTATTTCCCTGATGATTAATGATAAGTGTCTTTTCACATGGTTATTGGCCATTTGTATATTATTTTTGGTGAAATGGCTACTGTCTGTTGCCTGTTTTTTGATTGGATTGTCTTCTTGAGTTGTAAGGGTTCTCTGTAAATTCTAGATACAAGTTTTCTTGAAATACAAAAGTTTTAAATTTTGATGAAGTTCAATGTATTCATTTTTTCTGTGATTTCAGTTCATATCTAAAAATTTTTTTTCTAACTCAAGATTTTGAAGATTGTTTTCTATGTTTTCTTCAAAAATTGTTTTGCTTGTGGTGAGGGTTTAAGTTCATCTTTTTGCATGTGGGATATCTAATTTTATATTAATTCACTTAAAATAATAGCTCATTACATGGTAACACAAGTAACATTCTTTAAGAAAAATAATTTCCCAAACAAAAATAATTAGTAAGGGGAGTGGTAGTATTGTAGTTTTTTTACTGTCTGGCTTAATAGAAGACTGATTATCATATCTGCTTCTGCATTCAGTCTGTTGCATATCACATATCATGTAGCTTCCAGAAAACAACTGTATACTTGTGAGAGAATGAGTGAAAAAGTCAAATAATGCTTTAGCAGTATTACAAAAATAATTTTAATCTCAGGGATCCCACTGAAAGGGTGTCCCAGCAGTCTTTGTTGAAACTTTAGAGAGTCTTTAGTATAAGAGCTTGTTGATTGATGTCTACTTTAAAATCACTTAGAATTTCAATTAGGGCCTGTCATTTCTTGGCATCTCATTTTATCATCTGATTTGTTTGTTTATTATAAAGCTTTTAAATGTTCTTCTAAGTTTTTACAAAGAAGTAATATTTTAGAATGACCATGAAGAATTAACAAACTATGGTTCATGGGCCAAATCCAGCCCATTGCGTGTTTCGGTTAAAAGAAGTTTTATTGGAACACAGCCACACTCATTTATTCACACTTTTAAATTTACTGACCCCCTGTTAGAGATTACAGTTTTTAATGACTGATGTTAAATAAATTAAAAAAACCTCATTTTTAGAGTTTCTTAGATTTCAGCAGCAGGATTGAAAGTAGTTTTCTATAATTAATAACACCAATCAGCTTTATAGTTAATAAAAAATATTGAGTTATCACATCATATTGGAAAGTTAGGCTTATCGACTTTACATTTTATATTTTAAAAATGTTTTTCAAAGGATGTTTTCTTTGTAGTAAAAGTTAATTCCTTGTTGAAGAGAAAGAATGGGATGTTCATTATTTTACACATCAAATTAAGACACTTTGTAAAGTGCTTCTTTCCAATGAGTATCTCAGAAATAATAAAAGTTGTATAAGGAGCTGTCAGGTTTAATTTTAAATATTTCAATTCGTGCTATTTCAGGATGATCTTGAAGACCTTATAGTTAATTGGGATGAGAGCAAAAGCATTGGTGACATTTTTCTGAAATATGTAAGTATTGTATTTCTTTTTTAAGTTTTCAGATTAAAATATGATCTCATCAAGGACTGGCAAGGAGTGTAATTTGCCTATTTAAATGTGAGAGGTTTTAAAACTTTGATATGATTGTGTTTATAAAATACATTGGAAATGTTCTTTGTCTTCTGAAACATGCCTTCTGTATGCAATTTAACACTTTAGTAGCCCAAGATTATTGGAAGAATGCCAATTATCATGCTGTGGTATAATTGTTTTAGTATGTATCAAGTTATTTGCCTTTCATAAATGGCCACAGATTGTATTTTTATTTTATATATTATTTAATTTTCATTTTAAGTTCAGGAGTACATGTACGGGTTTATTATATAGGTAAAATTGTGTCATAGGGGTTAATTGTACAGATTGTTTCGTCACCCAGGCGTTAAGCCTGGTACCTATTAGTTATTTTTCCTGTTCCTCTCCTTCCTCCTACCCTCCACCTTCCAGTAGGCCCCAGGTATGTGTTGTTCCCCTCTATGTGTCTATGTCTTCTTATCATTTTGCTCCCACTTATAAGTGAGAACATGTGATGTTTGGTTTTCTGTTCCTGTGTTAGTTTGTTAAGGATGATGCCCTCCAGTTCCATCTATGTTCCTGCAAAGGGCATGATCTCGCATTTTTTTTTTAATGGCTGCATAGCATTCCATAGTGTATATGTACCACATTTTCTTTATCAAGTCTATCATTGATGGGCGCTTAGGTTGACTCCATGTCTTGCTATTGTGAATATTGCTGAATTCTACCAGATGTACAAAGTTTTTATTTTTCTCCCTTCTTAGTTGATAACACTTTTTGCTGTCATGTCTGTTTCTATTTAAAGGCTTCTAATGAACTGCCTCTTACTAGGATAAGAACCACACAACTTAAGTTTTATAAATTCATTTTGGCAAGGTTCTGTGAATAGAATTTAGAAGTTTCTTTGAATCTCTTTAAATAGGATTTGTAAGTTTCAGTGCCTTGAGTACTGGCATTTATACTTTTATTTTTTGAGGTTTCTAACTTCTTTCCTTACAAAATAATCTCTTAGGTGTTTTTTCAGTTTGGTTGAGAATTAAAAATTTACAAATTATTTTCTCATTTTTTTGATAACCTTTTAATTTTCTCAGTCAGCCAACATTGTTTTCCTTTTCTTGTTTGCATTTTTGGGTAATTTAACTGATCTTTTAATGGCGGTTTGGATTTTTGAATAAATACCATGCTTTTGGAATCTACATAGATCAGCTGTAATTGATATTTTTTAAAGTCATAGACATTTTCTTTGTCATGTTTGTATCAATACAATCAGCTTTAACATATCTTTTGTTTTTTTTCTGAGTCTTCCTGTTTTAGACTATGTATACCAATTGATGTATTTTGTTTAGCAATTAACTCTTTACTGAGAAATTTATAAAATAAGTTTGTTCTCAAACATAGAAATTTACTTTAAACTTTTGCATCCACTATGTCAGATTGTGACTACTAATTATTTGACTTTAAGTTACATTGTCTCTAAGGGTGACAAATGCATAATAAATAATGTTTTTTTCCCTTTTCTTCCTAGTCAAAAGATTTGGTAAAAACCTACCCTCCCTTTGTAAACTTCTTTGAAATGAGCAAGGAAACAATTATTAAATGTGAAAAACAGAAACCAAGATTTCATGCTTTTCTCAAGGTAATGTGTGTTTCTTTCAAATAAAAATTTGAGAATTATTTCTGAAGTAATTCACCACAATTATGACAAAAATGAAGTAAATTTTAACTTTAGTAAAATGTATCCATTAATATCTGTTAATTTTAGTTGTACTTATGGGTGACCATGATATTTAGCTTTGGAAGCTTTGATATATTCAGTGTTAGGTGCCAGGAGGCAGCTGAGTGAATAAGAATGTTATATGTGGTCATTTTTTTTTTTTTTAAATTGTGGCCGGGTGCACCGGCCAATGTCAGCCTATAATCTTAGCACTTTGAGAGACTGATGAGGGAGGATTGCTTGAGGCTAGGAGTTTGAGATCATCCTGAGCCACATAGTGAGACTCCCATCTCTACAAAAAGTTTTTTTTAAAGTTTTATGTATTTTAGTTCTCAAAACACCTAATGATTTTCCAGTGACATTTGTTTTGCTTTTAATGATTTTTTTTCTTACCAGTTCCTTATTATGGTATTAGCATAATTAATATTAAATGTGCTTTTTCTTGTGAATAATGTAGACTTAAGAAAAATTTAAGGTGGGATATATAGGAGTGTGTAGAGGAACTCACTTTTTATGTAAGATGTTAACCACTGGCTGGCCAAGAGGACATTTCAGGCCCTGAAAAATTATTCAGCCAAGTAATCAGCCACGGAGAAATTCCACTTCTTCTCTATTAGTTTGTATCACAGACACTAATGATAAGGTGTACTCCAGTAAAAGTAGGGCATATAATCTTTTCAGAAAACCTTTTTTGAAATTGTTGAATAAATTGTTTTCAGATAAACCAAGCAAAACCAGAATGTGGACGGCAGAGCCTTGTTGAACTTCTTATCCGACCAGTACAGAGGTTACCCAGTGTTGCATTACTTTTAAATGGTACTTGTCTGATCTGTTTCAAACTACATCAGATATTTTAATGGAATTGTTTTTTCCAAAAAAGATGAATTTCTTCTCATTTTTAGAGTTTCTTAGATTTCAGCATTAAAGTTTATATATGTTTTGCTTTATGGATTATCTTAAAAAATAGTTACTGGTGCTACTAAAATTCAGCCTGGCCTGAAATATTTTATTTGTTGATTAGTAGTATATATTTTGTCTTTTCATTTAAAATTTTTCTTAATATTTCATGGTGTGTCACTAATTCAAAATCATTTTATATCCAAGTACATACAAAATTTGCCCACAAAATCACAAGGAGAAGATAATTTGTATGTCCCGACTTTTTTGTAGCCCTTTTTTGAATTTTAGTAAAGTTCTATATACTTGGCTTTATGCTTACTGTTTTTGACCTTAGATTGTTCAGAATACTCTTGAAACATATCTATTTATTCTAGAACTGAACTATAGGTATCAATAGAGTTTTACAGCAGATAATTTTTATGAATAAATTTTGCCTGTGGTAAAAAATGTGTATGTATATTTTGTTACATTTAGCTGGCTAAGGACAGTATCAGTTTTTATTTTATTCTTAATTAAGTATGAAAACAAAATTATAGCCGGTAATCCCAGCACTTTGGAAGACCGAGGGTAAGCCCAGGAGTTGGAGACCAGCCTGGGCAACATTCAGGGACCCTGTCTCTAAAAATAATTAAAAAAAAAAAAAGAAGGATAACTAAATTATAAACAGGAAAAAGTCTATAATAAAAGATATAATTCCTAAGCTAAATCTACACTAATATATACAGCAGACAAGGAGGCAAATTTTGTGACTGTTTAATCTGTTATTTTCTGTAAAAATCTTGGTTAGTATATGAATTATAGTACTAACTAAAAATCTGACAATTTTTTTGTTTTTTAGAGTTATCTAATACAGTTGAGAATTACTGGCTTATAAAATGATTTGTCCACTATTTAAAACTGTTCTGTTTTGCAAATTATAAGGAGAATATATGAACAAACTTTAGGTTTCCAAAACATTGTGGTTTTCTTCTGATTTGCATACCTTCATTATTGTTTAAGTACTTGTAGAAATTCGTAAATGTTACAAATAAAATGATTTCTAGGCTTTATTACTATTATTCCACATGAGAGATTAGGTGGACAGTGGTACTAGATTAAACCTAGATTTGATAAGAATATGCCAAGGATGGCATAGGGAACACAAATAACCTGGATTAGAAGAGTCAACGTGTTAAGTATAAATCTCTAAGGTAACAAAATCTGTGCTTAAAGATACCAGATGCTCTCTGTGATGTAGCCATGGGCCCCAGTATGAAATACAAAATACATTATGATTTCTGAGCTTATTGAGGATCATGTGTTTTCATTTAGCACTATGGAGAGACTTTGAGGAATTTAGGAGTCCCCAAGCATTACTTGAAGGGATTGGAATAGCAGTGTAAGAAAATCAGGATTACATATTCTGAAAATTTAGTCAGTAAAAATGGAAACCTTAACAGATGTGTAATAAGAGAGCTTTTTAGGGAACAGTGCTTAAAACTTTTTAAAAAATAAGGATTGAATATTATCTTTAAAAATTAGCTGTATCAAGATGGACAGCATTTTAGTCTTAGATGAGAAATCACTGAATTTTTTATGCATGGAAAAAACATTGTATTATTACAGATCTTAAGAAGCATACAGCTGATGAAAATCCAGACAAAAGCACTTTAGAAAAAGCTATTGGATCACTGAAGGAAGTAATGACGTAAGTGCATTATTTTCAATTTTTGATTGTGCCTTAGATTTCGAATGGAATTGATAGAAAACTAGAATCATAAATAGGAAAATATCAATAGCAAATTTTTGTAAAATGTCTAGATTATTTTTCTAATAGTGTAGTTACACATTAAAATGAAGTATTGTAAGAATACATTCATTAATCAAAACATTTATTTCTAAGCTATTAAACTATTGTGCACAGAGAATAATAGTTTAGAAACTTGAAAATGTTACAAATTCCCTAATAGGCATTTTCTTCATATAACTCTAGTCATAGCTTGTTTCTGTCTTCATATTAATGTGTATTGCCCAAATGTAACTTGAGAATGTGACCACAGTGAAACGAAAAGGTTTATAATACTTTTTCACTTTAATTTTTAAACTTTTTGTTTTCTACCTAGAGTTCTGTGGAATTAAATTGGCGGGATTGGTTGGAAATGTATTAAAAGTATAAATTCAATGAAATTGATCTGGGGAGTTTGGTCATAAACTTAGGCTGCTTACTATAGGTCTAACTTGGAAAGAGGACTGATCAGAAATGATCTTCTGACTGTTAGGATCAGAGTGGAAAACTCTCTTACCATTAACTGTTTCTGGTTTGCCTCAGAGAAGGCACTTTAAGTGGACTGTATATATCAGTATATTTAATAGGTTTAATTGATTTCTGAGATGCCAGGGTGCTTCTGTATGAGAGTTTCTTGAAAGACTTCCAGAAGGGCTCTTAAGGAGAAACTTCGTTAGCTCTAGAGAGGGGATTCAGCGGAGACCTCTCTCATTCTCTTGAGACAGTAATGCTCAAATTAGTTATTACCAGCTTTTGTTGCTGCTGAATGGGTTATGTAAATAGGTGTCCCAAGACTCCCTCAGATACCAAAATCTGTAGGTGCTCAAGTCCCCTACAGTCAGCATCTGCAGATATGGAGGGCCAAGTGTATATACTTTTTTGTTTTGTTTTCTTTTTTGCTTATGTATTTTGTATGTTCACCAACCAGCCATCATGCTTTTGCTTTTTTTCCCCTAGGACCAGGATAACGGTATTGAGACTATTATGATGATAATTCTCTGTAATTTTTCAACACCTTATGGTTTAAAATACTCTTGACACACATTATTTACCTTGATCTTTTCAACAAACTTTATGAAGTAGGCAGTCATTGTTTTCATATTTTTATAAAAGAAACTGAGAGGTTGTTACCTGCTCAATTTATCTGTTTGGAGTGTAGAATACTCTACAAGTGGCTTATGCTATTTGTTATTTATGTACAATATATTTTGGTAAGCAAAGATTATAAAGTAAGTAAGGAAAAGTAGCAAATAGATTAGTCATTTGACCTGTTGCCTTATTTAGAATAGTGTCAAGCTGGCTGCTGTAGGGATAATGAGCTGAATCAGTAAGACATTAAGTTTCTTGAGAACTTCTATTTTTAGTATATCCCTACCCTAAGTGCCTTTCTCATAGATTTTCAATAAATGTTAAATTATAGGACCTGATATTTTAATGTCGAATTGTGATGCTGATTAATAAGCCTTATAGAATTTTACCAGATCTAAATTCTCGAGATTCTTGAACATTTAGCCTAGAGATTTAATGCTTATTATGGTTGATTAAAACCACTGTTACCTATCAGATATAGGAAATAATGACACAGCACCAGTTCACTAGTCCTTGCCATTTAAGCAAACTAAAAAAGCCTCCTAAAATTGAATTCTAACAACATCAGTTATACATGCTTAGATTTTCAATATTAATTTGTTATAGATATGTTTTTAGTTCAAATATGGCTTTTTTCTTAAACTACACATATTTAAAATATAGTTTGATTAATTTCAGCACACATATGCTCCCATGAAACCATCACCACAATCAAGATGAAGAACATTTCTGTCACCCCCAAAATTTACTCATGCCCCTTGGTAATCTCTTTTTCTGGCCCATCCTGTTTTACCCTTCCCAAGGCAACCGTCTATCACTGTAATTTAGGAATGCCCCAGATACTGTGGGTTAGGTTGCAAACCATGACAGTAAAGGAAATATCCCAGTAAAGCAAGTCATGTAAATTTTTTCATTTCTCAGGGCATATAAAAGTTACGTTTACACTATACTATAGCCTGTGAATTGTGCAGTAGCATTATGTTTAAAAATTAATGTACATATCTTAATGAAAAATTATTGTTAAAAAATGCTAACAGGCAGGACGCTGTGGCTCACGCCTGTAATCCCAACACTTTGGGAGGCTGAGGCGGGTGGATCACGAGGTCAGGAGTTCGAGACCAGCCTGGCCAAGATGGTGAAACCTCGTCTCTACTAAAAATACAAAAATTAGCTGGGCATGGTTGTGGGTGCCTGTAATCCCAGCTACTTGGGAGGCTGAGGCATGAGAATCGCTGGAACCCGGGATGTGGAGGTTGCAGTGAGCTGAGATTGCGCCATTGCACTCTATCCTGGATGACAGAGCAAGACTCTGTCTCAAAAAAAAAAAAAAAAAAGCTAACAATTATCTGAGCCTTCAGTAAGTTATAGTCTTTTTGCTAGTGGGGGATCTTGCCTTGATGTTGATGGCTGCTTACCAGGGTCGTGGTTGCTGAAGGCTGGGATGGCTGTGGTAATTGCTTCTCTCTCTCTCTTTTTTTGTTTTTTTTTTTTTTTTGAGACAGGATCTCACTCTGGTTGCCCAGGCCGGAGTGCAGTGGCACAGTCTCAACTCACTGAAGCCTCCACCTCCTCCCACCTCATCCTCTTGAGTAGCCGGGATTACAGATGTGCACCACCACACCTGGCTAACTTTTATATTTTCTGTAGAGATGGGGTTTTGCCATGTAGCCCAGGCTGGTCAAAAACTCCTGAACTCAAGCGATCTGCTCACCTCGGCTACCCAAAGTATTGGGATTACAGGCATGAGCCACCACAGCCGGCCGGCACTTTGTTAAAATAAGACAGCAATGAAGTTGGCCATATCAGTTGACTTTTCCTTTCATGAATGATTTCTCTGTAGCATGCGATGCTGTTGGATAGAATTTAACCCATATTAAACTGCAAAGTTGGGGTCACTTCTCTTAGATTTTGACACCACGTTATCAACTAAGTGTCTGTAGTATTCTAAATCCTTTCTTGTCATTTCAACAGTGTTCACAGGATCTTCACCAGGAGTAGATTCCATCTCAGGAAACCACTTTCTTTGCTTATATGTAAGAAGCAGCTTTTTTATCTGTTTGGGTTTGTTCATGAGATTGCAGCAATTCAGTCCCATCTTTAGTCTCCACTTCTAATTGTAGTCCACTTGCCATTTCTGCCACATCTGCAATTCCTTCTGCAATTGAAATCTTGAACCCCTCAAAGTCATCCATAAGGATTGGAATCAACTTCTTCCAAACTATTAATGTCGATGTTTTGACCTCCCACGATTCACAAATTTTTTTTTTTCTTCATTTTTATTTGTGCCTTCTTCTTGGCCTGAGCTCTGGCTTTTGGTTTTTTCTCCCTCGCCTCTCTGCTGCTGACCACTGCAGGCTCTCTGAACCTTGAGAGTTACCTCCCCTGAGGTCTCCGCTTATGCCTCCAACCTCTCATGCTCAGCTTCACCTGCCCGACATATGGTCTTAAATGGCAACCCAGATGGTGAATCCTTTCCAGTAGGTTTTCTTTTTCTTTCTTTTTTTGTCAGTTCAAGTTTAATAGAAACTGCAAAAGATAATTGGCTGATGCCCTCTAATGATACAGCATACAAATCAGTGGCCTGCCCCACAACACAGCTCAGGCCATTCCTACCAAGGGAAGAAAGGCTGGCCTCTGTAACCCCTGTAGGAAAGGCCTGCTTTGTAACACACCACATCTCAGCTGAATCTAAAGTCTAGTGTTTTACCTATGAAAAGAAAAGAAAAGAGAGGTTTTGTTATGGCTGTCCACTGCAGCCTGGCACTGAAATGTCCCATTGCTTACTTCTACTTGGAAAAATATTCTTTGTTCTTTTGGACATCATCCAGTATGTTTTCAATTGACTTAGTGATTCTTGTGATTCTTCTGATGGATCTGTTCTATCTGTGGCAGCTATAGCCTTATGAAATATGTTTCTTAGATAATAAGACTTGAAAATTGAAATTACTCCTTGATTCATGGGCTGCAGAATTGGATGTTGAGCTAGCAGGCATGAAAGCAAAATTAGTCTCCTTGTACATCTCCATCAGAGCTCTTGGATGACCAGGTATATTGTCAATAAGCAGTAATCTTTTGAAAGGAACATTTTTCTGAGCAGTAGGTCTCAAGAGTGGGCTTAAAAGATTTAGCAGGGCCGGATGCAGTGGCTCATGCCAGTAATCCCAGCACTTTGGGAGGCCAAGGTGGGCAGATCACTTGAGGCCAGGAGTTTTAGACCAGCCTGACCAACATGGCAAAACCCCATCTGTACTAAAAGTACAAAAATTAGCTGGGTGTGATGATGCACACCTGTAATCCCAGCTACTTAGTGGGATTTCAACGAGAGTTGCTTGAATCCAGTAGCTGGATGTTGCAGTGAACCAAAATTGCACCACTGTACTCCAGCCTGGATGACAGAACAAGACTCTTGTCTCAAGAAAAAAATTAGTAAACCATGGTGATGTGCTGTCATCCATGCTTTGTTGTTTCATTTATAGAGCACAGGCAGAGTCGATTTAGCATAATTCGTAAGGGCCCTAGGATTTTGAGAATGGTCAGTGATCATTGGCTTCAACATAGTCAGTCACCAGCTGCATTAGCCCCTAACGAAAGAGTCAGCCTGTCCTTTGAAGCTCTGAAACCAGGTATTGACTTCTCTCTAGCTGTGAAAGTCCTAGAAAGCACCTTCTTCTACTGGAAGGCTGTTTTGTCTACACTGAAAATCTGTTGTTTATTATAGCCACCTTCTTCAATTATCTTATTTAGATTTTCTGGATAACTTGCTGTAGCTTCTCCATTAGCAGTTGCTGCTTCACCTTGTACTTTTATGTTACAGAAATGGCTTCTTAAACTTCCATGAACCAACTGTGCTAACTTCAGACTTTTCTTCTGCAGCTTTCTTACCTCTCTCAGCTTTTGCAGAATTGAAGAGAGTTAAGAACTTGGTCTGAATTAGATAGTGGCTTGTTCTGGATTGTTAAGGCTGGTCTGATCTTCTGTCTGGACCACTCAGACATTCTTCATATCAGTATTAAGGTTGTTTTACTTATTATTCATGTCACTGGAGTAACACTTTTCATTTTTCTTCAAGAACTTTTCTTTTGCATTCACAGTTTGGCTGCTTGGTGCAAGAGGCTTAGCTTTAGGACTATCTCTGTTTTCAACTTGCTTCTCTTACTAAACTCAATCATTTCTAGCTTTTGATTTGAAGTGAGAAATGTGTGACTCCTCCTTTCACTTAAATACAGGACTTTGTAGGGTTGGTTATTAATTTCAATATTGTTGTATCTCAGGGAATGGAGAAGCAAGAGGAGAGAGAGCGATAGGGGAATGGCTAGTTGGTGGAGCACTCAGAACACACACACACTTATCAATTAGGTTTGTTGTCTCATATGGGCATTGTTAGTGGTGTCCCGAAACAATTACAATAGTAACATCAAAGATCACTGATCACAGCTCACCATAACAGATAAAATAATAATGAGAAAGTTTGAAGTATTGAGAGAAATAGCAAAATGTGATAGAGACACGAAGTAAGCATGTACTGTTAGAAAAATGACATGATAGACCTACTTGACACAGGGTTGCTTACAAACGTTCAATCTGTGAAACAACAACAGCAACAACAAAGAAAACACTATATGTGAAGCACAATAAAGTAAAGCACAATAAAGCGAGGGATGCCTATATGCACTTTCTATGATTTTATGTACGTGGAGTCTTTTATCTGGCTTTTTTTTTTTTTTATACTCAGCATAATTACTTTGAGATTAGTCCTTATTGTTGCTTATTTCAATAGTTACTTTTATTTTCCATTGTATGGCTATATCACAGTTCATCCATTTTCATGTTGATGGCATTTTGGTTGTTTCCAGTTCTTGGCTCTTCCAAGTAAAGCTGCTGTGAAAATTTGTGAACAAGCTTGTATAGACATATGCCTTCATTTCTCTTGAATAAATTCCTAGGAATAGGAATGGTAGGTCAGATAGTAGGTTTTTCCTTTTTTTTTGGTGGAGGGGGTGGTATCTTATTCTGTGATCCAGGCTGGAATGTGGTGGTGTAATGTTGGCTCACTATAACCTCCACCTCCCAGGCTCAAGTGATCATCCCACCTTAGCCTTTTGAGTAGCTGGGACTACAGGTGCAGTCCTACCATGCCTGGCTACTTTTTTGTATTTTTTGTGGAGACAGGGTTTCACTCTGTTGTCCAGGCTGGTCTCAAACTCCTGGAGTCAAGCAATCTGCCTGCCTCGGCCTCCCAGAGTGCTGGAATTACAGGTGGAGCTACTGCACCCAGCAAGGTATATGCATTTCTAAGAAACTGCCAAACTGTTGGCAAGACGGTTGTATTATTTTGCATTCCCATCAACAGTGTGTGGTGTTCCAGAGCTTCCACATCCTTACCAACAATTGGTATGGTCAGTGATTTCATTTTTTATTTATTTTTATTTATTTATTTATTTTTGAGATGGAGTCTCACTCTGTCTCCAGGCTACAGTGCAGTAGTGCGATCTCGGCTCACTGCAACCTCCGACTCCCTGGTTCAAGCGATTCTCCTGCCTCAGCCTCCGAGTAGCTGGGATTACAGGCACGTGCCACCACTCCCAGCTAATTTTTGTATTTTTAGTAGAGACGGGGTTTCCCCATGTTGGCCAAGTTGGCCTCGATCTCCTGACCTCGTAATCCACCTGCCAAAGTGCTGGGATTACAGGCGTGAGCCCCCGCGCCCAGCCTATTTTTTACTTTTTTATTCTTACTTTTTAAGATGGAGTCTTACTCTGTTGCCCAGACTGGAGTGCAGTGGCGCGATCTCTGCTCACTGCAACCTCCACCTCCCAGGTTCAAGCAATTCTCCCGCCTCAGCCTCCCGAGTAATTGAGATTACAGGCACCTGCCACCATGCCCAGCTAATTTTAGTATTTTTAGTAGAGACGGAGTTTCACCATGTTGGCCAGTCTGGTCTCGATCTCCTGACCTCAAGCAATCCACCCACATCAGCCTTCCAAAGTGCTGGGATTACAGGCATGAGCCACCACACCTGGCCTGGCCAGTCATTTTAATTTGTGACATTCTAATAGATGTTTGGTTGTCTTTCCTGGTGGTTTTGATTTGCATTTGCATGACAAATGATGTTAAATGTCTTTTCATGTGATTATTTGCTGTCATATTACTTTCTTTGATGATATGCCTGTTCAAATCTTTTGTTTATTTGAAAAAAAAATTGTGTTTTTTTTGTAATTGAATTTTGAGAGTTCTTTATATATTCGAGTTAAAAGGCTTTTTTTAAAAAAAGATATATGATTTGCAAATATTTTCTCCTAGTTTCTGGCTTGTTTTTTTCTTTTGACAATTTCTTGAAAAAATAAGAGTTCTAGATTTTTAAGTCTAATTTAGCAAATTTTATTTTAATGGATTGTGATTTTATAGTTTTATCTAAGAAATATTTGTCTAACCCAAGGTCACAAGGATTTTTTTCTTATTTTCTTTAAGAATGTTTGTGGTATTAGTCTTTAGGTAAAAATCATTTAGGTGTATGATCCATTTTGAGTTAATTTTTGTATATGGGGCATGGTATAGATTGAAGTTCATTTTTTAAAATATGGAAATCTATTCTAGCAGTATTTGTTGCAAAGAGTATCCTTTCTCCACTGAATTGCTTTTGTACCATTGCTGAAAATCAGTTGACCATAAATGTAATGGTTTATTTCTTTACTTTCAATTCTGCTTCATTGATCTGTATGTCTGTGCTTATGCCAGTACCACACTGCCTTGATTACTGTACTTTAAGTTTTGAAATTGGGAAGTATGTGTCTTCCAACTTTGTTCTTTTTCAAAATTGGTTTCACTATTCTGAGTTCCATAAATTTGGCATGTGGCTTTTAGGAGCATCTTGTCAGTTTCCAAACAACAACAACAACAACAACAAAACTGTGGGGAATGTGTATAGGAATTTTATTGAATTTGTACATCAATTTTAGGAGTATTATCTTAGCAATATTATTATTATTATTTTTTGAAACGGAGTCTCAGTGTCACCCAGGCTGGAGTGCAGTGGCACGGTCTCGGCTCACTGCAATCTCCGCCTCCCGGGTTCAAGTGATTCCCCAGCGTCAGCCTCCCGAGTAGCTGGGACTACAGGTGCGCACCATCACACCTGGCTAATTTTTTTTTAAGTAGAGATGGGGTTTTAGCATGTTGGCCAGGCTGGTCTCGAACTCCTGACCTCAGATGATCCACCCACCTTGGCCTCCCAAAGTTCTTCGATTACAGGCATGAGCCACCGCACTTGGCCTATGTTAGCAATATTAAATCTTCTGATTTATGAATATTTCCATTTATTTACTTTTAATTTCTTTCAACTATATTTCGTGGTTTTCAGAGGATAAGCTTTGGGTTTCTTGTTAAACTTATTCTTAAGTATTCTATTCTTTTTGATGCTATTGTAACACAAAAATTAGCCAGGCATGGTGGTGTGGTGTGCGCCTGTAGTTCCAGCTACTCAGAGGCTGAGGCAGGAGAATCGCTTGAACCAGGAGGTGGAGGTTGCAGTGAGCCAAGATTGCACCACTGCACTCCAGCCTGGGTGACAGAGTGAGACGCTATCAAAAAAAAAAAAAAAAAAAAATTTTCAAAATTGTCAAAATACATTTTTGCTTGGAATTAGTGGTTAGACAGTTTTATGTTTGTTGCTGCTAAATGTTTTAAAGTCATGGAGCTTTAAGTCCAGCCTAAAATGAAATGATCTTCATGTAATTCTTTGATTTAAACTAACATTATTATTGATTTAATAAAAACAGCTGTATCTTTTGAGTTATTTACAACATACCCATGTATTTCACTTTAGGTTCTTACTTAGGTAAATATCTGATATTAACAGGTTATAATTTTGATTAATAAAAATAACAAAATAATGACTAGCTCTAATACCTCAATTTTCATAATGAATCTAGGCATAATTGCTAAAAAATTTATGTAACTGTAAATGGGATAAACATTTATAACTAAACTTTGCAAGTAATTTGAAATCTTTAAGTTATGTTACATTAAATTAAGTAATAGAGAGCTCATTAAATGCCTGAGTCATATCCAAATAAGAGAAAAAACAAAAACGAATTGCTGAATAAATAGGTTTGTTCTTGGCTTCTTAAATTTTATAAAAAGACTAAATATACTTAGATCTGTTAATACACATAAAATTATAAGAGGACAATGTGTTTTTTAATTAAAAAACAATGATTTTGTCAAATTCACAGGTTATTTAAAGTTTGTTTCAAAATATAAATTTAAGAAGAAAAAATTGGAGGAAAAACCAGTGTGGGAGAGAGAGAGAGATGCAAAGATAGTTATGGATATAAAGATGTATTTTTAGTTAAATAATAATTTTAAAATGTCTGTGATAAATTTTTGTCCTAAGGCAAAATGGTTGTTCCAGTATCAAAAAATTATAGGACTAAGACTAGGTGTTTGAGAAAATGATGAAAGATCTAAACAAGTCAAAGAGGGTTTATGAAGGCTGGGCTTTATAAAGGAAGGTTTATGTGTGATCAGGTTGATGGGGTTGGAAAGGATTTCTTTGTAAGTTTTTTCTAAAAATTAAACATTGGTGTCAGGAGTGCATTGATTGATATAGGACCAAAGTCTGAATCTCTATGTTTACAACGAGTTTTACTTGAAGTATTGATCAGCTTTTAATAAAATTGCAGTAGGTTTTAATTTTTAATTCCAGAATCTGTTTCTTTATCAGCCATCTTCTAAACTGCAGGC